>NC_000008.11:3082850-3385135 GCF_000001405.40 Homo sapiens
AAACCTGTAACTCTATCCCTACAGATGTGCTATGTGGAGATTCTCATGTCCCAGCTTTATATCGAATGTGAACATCTGCGGGAAAAATAAAATCATGAAAACTTCTGTGCTGATTTGGGTGGCGAAGACGTGGTGATGTGTTAATTTAGCTGGGGTTTTTGAAAATTGTTTTTCCCACGTGGAGTTCTAAACATTTTAAAGAAAGAGCTCACCTAGTCTTCTGTTTCATATTTCATTTTTCTTTTCTTTTATTTATTTTTATTTCATAATTATGAATTGTCAGCAATTCAGGATCACATAAACGGTGACGATTCTTCCTTATATATTAACTCTCTTTAAACAAAAATGCTAGTTTTTTTAAAAAGACAGAACATGTCTTCAATTTTCTTAGAACTGAAAATAAAATTCTCTAAGTGTCATATATCTCTGCTTGTAAATTAAAATTACTAATTAAGATTCCAAGAACCAAATAGAAAATAGGGTTCCCTTAATATTTTATTTTTAACACCAGAGGAAAAGAGCAACACATCGTTGATAATCAGAGTGCTTTCTTCTTTTTAAAGTATTTCAGCCTCAAAATAACTTTTCGAATCTATAATTTTTTTTAATTTTTCTGATTATATATATTTTTGAGGCAGTCATCAAAGGGTCCTATTTGCACATCAGTAAGGAAGTCGCTTAATCTGTTATACACAGCCAAATGTGCAACTCTATATTCCAGGTCATGCTCTCCATCCACGGTGACAGTTACCATAATTTTTATATATATATATATATATATATATATATATATATATATTTTTTTTTTTTTTTTTTTTTTTTTTTTTTTTGGTCTCATTCTGTCTCCCAGGCTGGAGTGCAGTGCCGTGATCTCGGCTCACTGCAGCCTCTGCCTCCTGCCTGGGCTCAAGTCATCCCTCCATCTCAGCCTCCCAAGCAGCTGGGACTACAGGTGCACACCACCACATCTGGCTAATGTTTGTATTTCCTGTAGAGACAGGGTTTCACCATGTTGCCCAGGCTGGCCTGAACTCCTGTGTTCAAGCAATCCACCCACCCACCTTGGCCTCCCAAAGATGCTTGGAATACAGGTGTCAGCCACTGCACCCAGCCTACATTCTATTTTTCGTTATTACACTGTGAATCCCTTGGAAGGAAACAAATCTTTTTGTTGTTGTTGTTGTCATTTCTCCTTGGGTCAGTACACACAACTGCTCAACATATCTGTGAGTGGATGGGAGAAGGTTTCTAGCATAATCCACAACACACCATATGCAATTTGCCAAAGAAAAGCAGCTGAAAACCCACAAAGTCTCTTTCTGTCATATGAGGCCAAAGTGTTTCTACAACTTAGGGAAGTATATACAGCGTGTAAAAGATCTACATTCTAGAGCTGGGCAGGGTGGCTCATGCCTGTAATCCCAGCACTTTGGGAGGCTGAGGCAGGAGGATCACCTGAGGTCAGGAGTTTGAGACCAGCCCGAGCAACATGGTGAAACTCCATCTCTACTAAATACAAAAAATTAGCCGGCTATGGTGGTGGGTGCCTGTAATCCCAGTTACTTGGGAGGCTGAGGCAGGAGAATTACTTGAACCTGGGAGGCAGAAGTTGCCGTGAGCCGAGATCACATCCATTGTACTCTACCCTGGGCAACAAAAGCAAAACTCCGTCTCAAAAAAAAAAAAAAAAAAATCTACATTCTAAAAGTAACAAAAGGAAAGTGTGTAATTAATACTAAACAAATAAAATCTCTCTTTGTTGCACACTACAAAAATCACACATTTATATTTTATATTTAATATAGCTAAATCACCTTTAACAATTCTTTAAGCATAAGCAAAAACTGTTGGGGCATAAATTGCCAATATATGTTGTACAACCTTATGCTATTTAAAACTTTTATAATTCCTTCCCAATGGCCTTTATCCAGATAATCATTTTTACTCTTCATTTTAAAGGTTTAATTTTGTCTTTAAAATGATAAAAATGCTGATTTAATTGTACCACACAACTTTAATGTTCAAAAATCCTACTTTTTGCTACATTTTGTTTTGTTTTAAGCATTATAATCTATATATATAATGAAAATAATTTTATATTATAATTAAAATGCTATTTTACACAAATTGTAAATATCTAAAAGGTGACTAAAAGAAGTCTTGCACAGGAAATGAATTTAAGTGCTTAAAATATAGATTCTTTCAGAATTAGTATTTGCGAGATTCTATTTTAAGTATAATTTCTTCTGGCAAGGAAAATTCCACTTTAACAATGGTCAGGCTCACAGAAAGACTGAATTCTAGATCAACATTTTTATGATTATGAAGTCCCTTAACTTTTATGTGTTTCAGTTTCAAATACATAAAAATAAGTAGTTCAACTGGATTGTTTTTAAGATCCCTCCAAGTTTAAAGGTCAAAATGCATGAAGAAAAAAACAAAACCATATTGACTCCCAGGTTAACAGAAAGGTTAACAGGAAGTGTAGAAAGTCACAGATCTGTTTTAGAAAAATGATACTTCTTAAATATTTTATAATTTGAGAACAAAGTCGTGTAAGTTATTTATTGCCAAGAATAAATCTGAAGGAAGGTAGTCTAACTCTTCTTCCAAAACATGGTGTGCATTCTAGCATCCCATATACACAAAGCCATTGCCTCTCTGCCATGTTCCACACAAAGAAGAGATACCCTGATCATGTTCCCACAGATTCCTTGGCCACAGCTGTAAAGATGTCAGAAGAGCCTCATTTGCAGTGTGCACTATTTGTATTTCTGAATCATTTAACTTAGCATTAAATAGTTCTGCTGGGGTGTGGGGAGGCCATGGGAGAAGAAAGAAGTCAAGACTTATCCCAAACCTATATATGTGACATCCTTTAATCCTTCTCAACCATTCACTGAAAGGGTAAGCCATGTCTCCACCTCATAATCCGTTTCCAGAACTCCTTGCATATCCATCAGAAAGATGGACTAGCATGTGCCTGGCATCACCCGAATCCCTTTGGGACATGAAGGTCCCTCTCCGGACCCCTTTGTGCTTAGGCCTGGAGAGCACACTCTCTTTAGGCTCTATTTTGACTCCACCTCTAGAGGACAGGAAATGACTTCAGGAGTTTCTGCCCATTCCACCGAATCCCTTTCCTGTGTCCAGGCTGCCGTTTGGGCTGTGGTTCTGTCATTAGCCAGTGCTAGTGGGGCACAGACCATGGCGTGTTCTCTGAGCTGAAGTTGGGTCTCTTCAGCAACAGATTCTACGACTCTGTTCTATAAACAGAGTCATAGAACATTTAAAGCAAATGAGAAATATATCTTCTTCTAAAAGAAAAAGTATTCTTGTAAAGAAAAAAAAATTATCATTCTAATCATTCCTAATGAAGTAAGCTGCTTGAGTCTATCTCTATGTTTATTTTACATTAAATACGAATTTTTAGAGGTAAAACATAAATAATACAGTAGAGGTAAAACATAAATAATACAGGCTGTCTGATCAACTTCTTACAGTCAAAGGCACCTACAATAACTGTGATAAGTATCTATTACTGTCTCACAAAGCAATACCAGAAAATCTAATATCTAATGAAACTGACAAAAAAGAGAGCCTATATGAGCTTTCACTCATAAATCATAATTAGCTTTCAAAGACTAATATAATTCATTATGAATATAAACCTTGATAAGATAAAACTATGAAAATTTCATGACTTCAAAGCCTTCAATTAAAATTAAAATGTGTTATTTGAAAACCTGATTTTTATGCACATGATAGATAAAATGCCAAAAAAAAGGCATGAAATACTGAAATCAACTTTAACAAGCTCTAGATTTAAATAACAAAACAAAATCAAATACAGAGCTTAGGGCTCAAAGAATGAGTTTTTAAACTAAAATAAAGAAAATGAGTTTTCCAGAAATTAATGTTTTTAAATTAATACAATGGTAAAGAAAAATTATTTTGAATCTTAAATTGGATGACATGTTTTTTACTTCAAGAGGAAGTACAACTGTTAGAATAACTTGACCCAGGATCTAGTGAATGTCCAACCCTTCTCCAAATTCAGGCTATACAACTACATGTCAGGAAAGTTTGCATGGCCACTAGAAGGTTTAATTCGTACTGTTATAAGCCAACATTCAATTTTTCCTTACCTTTTATTCTTAGTTAGTGCTTCATTTATTTTCAGAGAGTGATTAAAATGAGAGCAATACACAGGAAACAAGGCTGGGGATGAAAACGCATTTCTTACCCTGGCAGAGTGGCGTGAGGGAGTCCCACTGGTACATGCCAAGTGGGTTTCGTCTACAGGTTGCATTGCTGTGGCCGACCATTCGGTATCCAGGCTTGCAAAAATAATGCACTTTGCTTCCAACCGCTCCTGCAGTCCTGTTTAGAATACCCCCATTCTTCAGGGGGTGGGTCAAACTGCAGTAAGGTGCTGTGGGCAGACAGACACACACAGAAATAAGTCAACAAGCAAACAAATGGCCAGTGCCATTGCCTTTGTGAGAGTCTATAAATGAATGGCTTCTCATTTCCAAAAGGTAGGAAATGAGCACCAGTATGTAAGTTTGTTCTAAAGAGCATTCCAAAACTTGAGAGTCTAAGAGGCAAGTCTCTTACTCTGAAGTTGAGATGATCTGCAGCTCTGAGTCAATGTGAAGCTAGGATCCTGAATACAGTACTGTGAGAAACATCAAGAGTATCCAATCTTTAGGCTTCCCTGGGACACACTGGAAGAAGAATTGTCTTGGGCCACACATAAAACACACTAACACTAATGATAGCTAAGGAGCTATAAAAGAAACTGCAGAAAAATCTTATAATGTTTTAAGAAAGTTTACAAATCTGTGTTGGGCAGCATTCAAAGTCATCCTGCGCTGTATGCAGCCCACAGGCTGCAGGTTGACTTGGTCTAGAGGGATCATTTTGAATGACCTCACTCACCTCTCTAAAGCAGCTTACTGACTTAAATAAGCACATCTGTCACCAGGATAAAAGTGATAGGGTACTGCACAAGACATCATATTTGAAACAAAAATATTCTGCGTGTTTTTTAAGTGTTGTTAAAACAGAGAAAGTAGAAATATATAACATTTTCTTAATCAAGGCCATTAATTTCTTTCCTTTTGACTGTTCAGTGAAACTTCTGGACTGTACAATGATGTAGATATTAACCTTCTTTTTTAGCATATGGGATTTGAATGAAATCTTTGAAGAAAATGCATTCTCTTGAGTCAATTACAATCTCACAATAGCTTTAATCATCCCTCTTTGTAAGGAGACATTTTAAAACTAGAGATGGGCATTTGTTAAAATAATAATTTTACCCACACAGAATGTCATATTTATGGCTAAAAGTCTCTGCATCTTATTTACACGTTTAGACAAAGAAACTTGCTTCATCTGCACAAGGCTAGGTCACTACTGCATAAGGCGAGGTCACTACTACACAAAATCCTAGGAACTCACTTCAGATGAATTTAAACAATACAACAGAGAAGGTCCTTAAGAACTGGGAATTCTCAGTTTCTTTTTAAAGAATTTTAGATCTTCCACTTCCCTCTGGGGCTTCCATATAAAAGCACACACACGCAGGTCTGAATGCTTAACATTGCTCCTTTCCTTGGAAATACATTCAGAAGAAACCTTCTGAAGGTTTTCTATCATAGTGGTGCCCAGAAGCAACATCTATGTGTCTGGCCTCAGTTGTCAACCATGTTCCTACGAGAAGTGTCCTCAGAAAATATTCTCAGCTGGGTGAGCCTCTGAAGTACCATTTCCTTTTTTTTAATGGGCTGATTTTTCTTAACTGAAAATCCACTACCATAAGAATCTCTTGATTCACAGCTCCATTGGCCACACCATGTTCTACCTCCAGTTATTTCTAGACCAAATTCTTCTAAGTTTTGAATGAACCAAAATACTTAGTTTAGACAAAGTATGAGTACAATCAGGCACCCTGAATATCAATGGCTTGGAATCACTGTGCTAGTAAAAAAAAAAAAAAAAAAAAGTTAATAAAAAATAGAAGGAACAATCAGACTGTAGATTCCTCTCCAAAGTCATAGATAAGTTAAATAAAGTTTGCAGGAAGTGAGACCATGAGGCTCTAACTCTACAGATTCCAATAAGGCTCCGTTTTCTTTTACTGTGTTTCTTCTCTCACCAGCCCCTCAACATACCTCTTCTTTCCTAACTCACTTAGGATAAGACATGAAGGGCCCTACAGGGGAAACCATAGCACAGAATACAAAGAGAGACTGGAGCAGGGGCCCTGCCAGCCCAACTCCTGCTGCAGGAAGAGGAATTCAGAGGAGCAGGGCCTGGTCCTTCCACTCTGCTGGTGCAGCCTCGGAAAAGCTGGGATATAGAATGAAAAGTCTAATGGGTACCCAGGTGAGAGAAGACTGGGACAGGTGGATATTCTGGAATTTCGGTGTGAATGCCAAACCAGTCTGTACTTTCAACCCGCCCAATACAGAAGCTTTCATTTGCTTCTCATAGTATGAAAAGGACATTGTTAATTCAGCCTGCGCTTAGCACAGTTTACGGAATTGTCCAGAACCACTGTTCGCAGGCATTTCTTTGTCGTTTTTAACTCGGATTTCCAATTATGATGATTCATTATATTGCTTTTATGCCTGAATGATCAAGAGTTTACGTGCATAGGGCAAATACATGTTGGGGATGCAACGTGTGGTCATGTGACAATATCATGGGCTAGAGTTCCCTTGGCCACATGTTAATATTTTAGGGACACTTTCATTTAATCAATGCTCAAAAATTACTGATGCTGACCTAGCAGAGATCACTGAGTCATCAATTCTAAGTAAAAAGCTGTGAGATAGATAAAGAATTTTTTATATTCACATATGACACGTGTCTATCTATCTGCCTCTCTTTCTCTCTCTCTCTCCACTTAAACAACATAAAATTGTGTATTCTTCTTCTCCCAATACAGTTTAACAATGAGGCTCTCCTTGTGGTATGACAACAAATAAAATACCTTTTGAAAGACGTAGAAATCATTGTTCTCACAATTGAGGATATAATCATATCACCAGGCTACTAAGAATTTCTCTGCAGGTAAAACAAGATAAATTATGTTCATCATGATTTTCTCTGAGCTGACCATGTTTCCACATTGGAAAAATTCAAACACCTTTAAGAGTCTGACTATCGGCCGGGCGCGGTGGCTTAACGCCTGTAATCCCAGCACTTTGGGAGGCCGAGGCGGCCGGATCACAAGGTCAGGAGATCGTGACCATCCTGGCTAACACGGTGAAACCCCGACTCTACTAAAAAAATACAAAAAAATTAGCCGGGCGCGGTGGCGGGCGCCTGTAGTCCCAGCTACTCGGGAGGCTGAGGCAGGAGAATGGCCTGAACCCGGGAGGCGGAGCTTGCAGTGAGCCGAGATCGCACCACTGCACTCCAGCCTGGGCAACAGAGCCAGACTGTATTTCAAAAAAAAAAAAAAAAAAAAAAAAAGAGTCTGACTATCTATTTTTTGGAACAAGGAGTTTGCTGAATGCAAATCCCATCATTGCATCGATGTCTTTGCAGCAAAGGTCTGAGTATATTTTATTAAACCTTCCAGAGGAAGAATATCTGAATTTCTTGCCTGTTATCCTCACATCAAGGGCCTTTCAAAATCTTGATGCTTTTTACCATTTTATATGTCTACCAACCAGAGTGAGCTAAAACCTTATTCTTACAACTGCTGTTTTAACACTGTTTCCTGGTTTTCCCTTTGGACGCTCGTAGTCCCTAAAGACGTAAAACACCAACACAGTAATAAACAATCCTCCGTCAGCACATATTGTTCACTTCCCATACACAATGAGCATCTTTCACGGGAAAACATAACTTGAAAGCTGTCAAGGGCATTGCTGAGTGAGATTTTGAGAAAAGTTTAGATTTTCTGCTTAGTAATTGAAATGTGCTCAGGAATTAAGAGTCTGCCTACTGCTTCTGTAGGAAAGTTTAAAGAATAGTGTGGTCAGATCCTACTGATGATTGTATACAGGATTTAATGTCTAATAAATATATTGACTGATTTGATCAATTTGTTACTAATTGATTTAGTTAATATAAATCACTGCTGGCAGAGAATGATTACAGTATATAAAGGGCAAAATAATTTACATTTTGATGAGGAATATATATTAAACATATATTTATTATGTATATGGTTATTTGTACAAATATATATATACACATATATGTAGTGTGAAACATACATAAAGAGACCTGCAGATAGATACAAAAACATAACTATTAATAGTAAGAGATTATCATCACTTATGCAATTAATAGAAATACAATTATCTTTTTCTATTTGTTTGCTTACCATTTAAACATATTTTAAAATTAATTTTGATTATATTAGTTTATCTTTTGGAAAATGTCTTTGCTTTCTATAATATGAATTTCAGCAGTTTATAATTTTAACAATAAAATTCTAAATATTAAGCAACAAATTTCCTAATGTAGTTTAGAGGAATCATTCAGAATAATTACCCATCATATATTTCTACTGTAGTTAATTATTAATCTTTAAGAATTAGGATTATACTATAAATTTCTATTTAAATTGTTTTATTCAATGAAAATCACCTGTTTTAAAATACTTTCATATAAAATCTAAACCTCATTTACTTACCTGCATAGCGAATCTTGAATCCTTTCTTACTGGTGGCATGGTCAGTGGACCAGCGGAGATATAACTGATTACTCCTGCTTGTAAAATTTGATTGTTCAGTATGATTCCCACTTAAGACTACTAGCAGAGGACTTTGCCCAGAAGAACCTAAGTGAAACAGAAAAACAAAAACATTCAGAGATGAGTGAGCACCTACCAAATGCATACTAGGTTTAGCTTTTGATTACACTGGAGTCTACGTGTGCAATACACAGATATAATTATTACAAAAGTGGACAACAAATTCCAAATGGCTATAGTGACAGATATATTTTCTGATAAAAATAAGACAATAATGTACAAAAAGAATTTCAGGTGCATATGCTATTAATGGTGTCATATTTAAATAAGCCTTGTCTATAAAACAGCAGTACCCGAAAAAAATGAAAGTAATATGTATTGTTGTTAGTATTTACAATATTGTACTTACACAGGAAAATAGAAACTTTCATGTAATACTAGTGGAAGCGTAAAGTAGTAGAATCACTTTGGAGGGCTGTTTGGTAATATCCAGTAAAATTGAAGGTTTAATTATATTTCTATGAACCCTAGCACATGTACGCAAGTATTATTTATATAGTGAACATGTGTATTCTAACACTATTTCTCATGGCAAATTTTAGATCAAACTAGTAATTTGGAGTTTTAAAAAAAGAATTGAAGATTCCATGAAAAAGAATTAGATTCATACAGCATTAAAATTAACAAACTAGATATACACATATCCACATAGGTAATTCTTAACATAACAGATTATTACTAAAAATATATATTTAGAGATAAATATAATAGGATAACAATTATACAAAAAATAAAAAATGCAACATATAACATGTGTATCTGTGGACGATAGATACACAAATAATTATAAAACATGCATAACCATGACCCATGCAACTCCAACTTCAGAATACTAACTTCCTCTAGGAGAGGCACAAGTGGAATTGGATATGGGTGAAGCTTCTAAATTTACCTGTACACATTGCTTCTTTATAAGATGAGGGCCTAAAGTAAATTTGACAAAGCCCTGAAATTCATATCTAGTTTTTTCATTTTTCACCTGTCTATGGTATTTGAAATTGTTTTAAAAACGTTGAGACAACAAAGTTAACATTGAAAGTATAGGTAAGAAAAGAAAGCACAGTGGAGAGTCACCCGGCATTGCCCTCATCACCATAACCCAAAACCATTTTTCAGGAGAAATTGCTTCATGGCACTGGGGCTTGCCAACAACGCTACTCTGTAATGAGCTCAGCATTATCTCATACTCGTAAAAGCGTTCATGGCATTTTGCATTTCACAGTTCACTCCTAGGGAACACATTATGGACTGGGAGAATGCAGCTCTCATTGTTGTTCATAATACAAATGCTATGAAGTAAAGTGACAGCTGTCTTTGTTGTTATACCTAAAATTTTATTTGTGCAAAGATACTGAGAAACCATACTCCACTCACCGTGTAACTCCCAATCAGAGCAGTTCTCATGATTTTTTTCAAGTAAGACTGTTATAGACTAGACTGGGTCCCCCTCAAATTTACACATTGAAGTCCTATGAAGTCCTAACCCTCTGGGCTTGGAAATGTGACTTTAAAGAGAGAGAGGGAGGGTCCCTAAAGACATAACTAAGGTTAAACGAGGTAGTATGGGTGGGTCCTGATCTAATATAACTGATGTCTTTCTAAGAAAAGGAGATTAAGACACAGGCACGCCCTGAGTGGGGGCCACATCTGCAAGCCTGGGAGGGAGGCTTGGAGGAGAGTCCCGCCCTTCTGACCCCTTCCGCTTAAAGGTTCAGCATCCAGAATTGTGAGAACATAAATTTCTGTTGAGGCTAGGCATGGTGGCTCACACCTGTAATCCCAGCGCTTTGGGAGGTAGAGGCGAGTGGATCGCCTGAGGTCAGAAGTTTGAGACCAGCCTGGCCAATATGGTAAAACCCCATCATTACTAAAAATACAAAAAATTAGCTGGGCGTGGCGGCAGGCACCTGTAATCCCAGCTACTCAGGAGGCTGAGGCAGGAAAATTGCTTGAACCCAGGAGGTGGAAGTTGCAGTGAGCTGAGGTTGTGCCATTGCACTCCAGCCTGGGCAACAAGAGCAAAATTCTGTCTCAAAAAAAAAAAAATTCTGTTGAAGCCACTCAATTTATGGCACTTTGTCATGGCAGTCCTAGGAAAGAAATGTGAAACAAACAAACGAACAAAAAACCACAAACCAAAACTAGCATATTAAATAATCGGGCAATGCTGACTTTGGTCAGAGAGAAGGAGGATGAGAAGAAATGATATTAATAGATCTCACTATGAAAAATGTCATGGCTAAATTTCCTGGGAGATGCCCTGCAAAAGAGTGGCTGGTATTTCATAATCAAAGACAAAGCGTGTTTGGTATGTTGGTTTGCTTTTTGGCGTTTAAAAGGATAATGTATATTCTGAGATAAAATGCCACTGGTAAATTAATTAACCTGAATTTATGATATTTTGAAATGTCATTTTTAATGACAGAACTCAAGAGTAGAGTTTTAGGGTTTTTTTTATTTTATTTTATTTTTTATTTTTTTATTTTTTGAGACAGAGTTTTGCTCTGCCTTCCAGGCTGGAGTGCAATGGTACAATCTCGGCTCTCTGCAACCTTTGCCTCCTGGGCTCAAATGATTCTCTTGCCTCAGGCTCCTGAGTAGCTGGGATTACAGGCGCCTGCCACCGCGCCCAGCTAACTTTTGTATTTTTTAGCAGAGACGGTTTCACCACGCTGGCCAGGCTGGTCTCAAACTCCTGACCTCAGGTGATCCATTCACCTCGGTCTCCTAAAGTGCTGGGATTACAGGCGTGAGCCACTAAGCCTGGCCAGTTTTAGGTATTCTTAATCCAGCATCTGAACCCTCATAATGTTCTATCTGTTCTCTTTGTCTAAAATGTAACTAACTTTCTAGAAGGAATAGTCTTTAAAAGCACATATTCAAACTGGCATGTGCAGAAAACCAGCACGGCAGTAAAGGAAGGTATCCATTTCTGTTACCAAAATGGAAACTAAGTATTCCACCAGTGTACACTGTAATTTTAATTTTGACAGTCTTCTCAACTGAGTTTCATAATGATTAAAATACTGTGTTTTAAAAAGCATTATGGGATATCCACTACTTAAGCCATAGAGAGTAATATACTCTTGAGATAATAAAGTATAAAATCAATATATTCAACATGTTTTTTGGTCCACCTATGAACTATAAAAGAGCCCGTCTTACAAAAAAAAAAAAAAAAAAAAGAGAGAGAGAAAGAGACAGAAAGATATGAACATGACATTTACTGCAACAAAAATGTCATCGCTTAAAAACATATTCACATAAAACTCTGACCTTTCACTTTGTAGAAAAAACTTTAAGACCAGACAATCCTAGTCACTGATTTCTGATAATTTTGACAGCAAGTATTATGCTATTGTCTCTAACGTATTTTACCTGTTGTTTATAATGGCTATGATCTGTCCAAATTTGCAGGAGATCAAATTGCAAGCCATGAGTGCATAAATTATTGATAAATAATTTGCTCCTGAAAGTAAGAGACTTAAAAGCATGGCCAGTATATTTCAATTCAACTACTGTGAAACAAAAGAACATGCATAAGTTCAAAATAATTAAATATACTTTTATGTCCTTTGTAGGGATATATATGTCTATATATACACAAACACAAACACAGACATACAGCCTGTGAGGTTGGATGCTCTACATTTTAATTTTTGCATAATACCTAATAGGCCTCAAATAGAGTTTACCTCTCTTCTTCCTCAACAAGAGAAACCCCATTTTTATACTTGCGTAATGAGTTACTTCTCTCTACTCTACAGACTAAAGAAAAAGTTGTAAATAATGTATGTTTGTTTTAATATACACATTTAAAAAGCCATGCTCTGAAAATGAAAATATTGCTCTCCAGTCCTCTGCTTCTATATACAAAAATGTGAGTTTAATTTCCAATTTATTAATTCATTTTTGAAAATACATTAATTGATTCAGTGATGTCTATCCATACAAGCAATTTGACTCATCAACTCAGTAAAGTGAATACAAACACACATCAAATCCATTAGAATAATTTATTTTTTTCACTGAATTGATTGTAATTTATCTGAACTCAATGACAAATCTTTCAAAATATGTGAAAACCCTGTTATTATGTACAGCCATAATTGTAACTGGTCTAATTTTCTGGGCTATGACGGTTTCACACAAAGAGAAATATTAACATTCCTTCCATTTCAAATTGACGATTCAACCACATATTACTTTTAATCATATCACTGTTAAAATTTTCATTGAAATTGCAAAAAAATCATAAGACTATTGTTGAAAACAGTATTGCACGTGTTCAGTTAACCATATTTCACTATTTCAAAGAATCACACTTGAAAAACTCCTGTAGCATTTATCATCTAGAAATCTCTGTGAGCCATGATTTTTACATATTTCCAGTAAAATAATTATTTAGATGACAAAAATACCTCTAGGCCTAAGTTTCCTAAAATATCTTGTGAATTGATATTACATATAGGAGAGAGAGAAAGAGTTATTGAGATCATCTTCTCTAAATCACTGTGTTAAAAAAATCAAATAATGGTTAAAGAAAATTTGGTACACTTTCAGGGTGTATTCCTAAGCATTCTAACTGTTTGAAAAGTGACAATGTTAACAATCCTATGGTTTGGCTGTGTCCCCTCCCAAATCTCTTCTTGAATTGTAAATCCCACAATTCCCACCTATCGTGGGACAAATCTGGTGGGAGGTAATTGAATCATGTGGGTGGGTCTTTCCCATGCTGTTCTCCTGATAGTAAGTCCCACAAGATCTGATGGTTTTAAAAATGGGATTTTTCCCTGCACAAGTTCTCTCTCATGTGCGTGCACCCACTCTTTCTCTCTCTCTGTCTCTCATGCCTGCCGTCATCCATGTAAAATGTGACTTGCTCCTCCTTGCCTTCCTCCATGATTGTGAGGTCTCCCCAGCCATCTGGAACTGTAAATCCATTAAATCTCTTTTTCTTCCTAGTCTTGGGTCTGTCTTTATCAGCAGCATGAAAATGGACTAATACAGTACAACAATCATATGGTAATGTTTTACAGACTGCTTGATCTCTTGAGAATGCATAACCCCAAACTAGTTTATTTTTTGTTTGCTTTGGGAAAACATAAGTTAACTCAAGAATATATTCCAGTCTTTATGTTACTAAAACATTGTAATAGTGTTTTTATCAATGATGCCGAGGTCACTGCTCTACAAAGATTAAAGAAACTTACCATCAAACACTTCCAGTGCATCAAACTGCTTTTCACTTTGAAATGTGTCCACAAAGATGGTAATGTTGTAGTTTGGTTCCACTTTAATACTCCAAGAGCAAGTCTGGGAGTTAAAATAATTACCCGGATACCCTGGACTGAGAATGACTCCCGATGATCCAGTCCGGACTTCATTTGCTGGGCATTGTGCTGGAGAGAAAAGTACCAGCAAAAGTTTGCTTTAATAAAATGATTCCAACTGCAATAGGATAGTTTCTATCCCTGTATAAACAAGTCAATGAAAGGAAAAAGCAATCTTATTGAGCTCTGGCCAAATTTAATACCGAATGCAAACACAGAGGGAGGGCAACATTGAATAATCATGAGAATTGTGCATCTTTCTCTTTGCAGTTCTCTACACTCAGCCTGCACACTCCTTTGGCCCCTGCATCTCCCACACACCTTAATTTGGGGCAGATGCATCCTGGATTTCATCATACAATGCAAGATTTCCTAACTCTACTACAAAGAAGAACCTCACCATTTCAAAAGAGTATTACAGAAATACAGTGAAATGTTATGCAATAAGAAAAGAAAACTCATATTTATTTTGGCTTTAAATATACAGTAGGCCCCCTTACCCCTGGGGATACATTCCAAGAGCCCTAGTGATGCCTGATGCTGCAGATGGTCCAGAATCCTACGTCGTTTCTGGTGCAATCACATCATACAGGGCAATGGATATACTGGACAAAGCTGGGATTCATGTCCTGGGTGAGACATAGCCCGGGGATGATGACAGATTTCATCAGGCTATTCAGAACAGTGCAAAATTTTAAATGTGTTGTTATTTCTGGAATTTTTCATTTAATATTTTCAGACTGTGCTTGATCACAGGTAACTGAAATTGCAGAATGGAAAACCTCGGATCGGGGGTGGGGGGAACTACTGTACTTAGCATAGTAATATTTAAACGTTCGATGTGATTGCTCGGGACCCTGGGAAGAGGAAGAATTAGAGACCTGGTCTCAATCCCACATGGGACATCTCAGCAGGAGCCCTGATTCCTAAGGGATGAATTAATTGTAAATGTATCATGAAGATACTATGGATACATCGTATCTTTTCTCCTCTTGCTTTTTGAAAAATTATTATTCAACTACTTCCAGTTTAATCAACATAAAAACAATCTGCAGAGATCTGGACATGCAAAGCAAAACACTAGAGTCTCCTAATTAGTAATTTCTCTCATCACTGAATTATCTTCCAGAAACAGTTTGTGTATAAAACTATTAAGGGAAATTTTTTTCTATTACTGGTAATGGTTCAAAAATAAAAAATGTATATCAAAATTACTTGTAGAGTGTTAAGAGTTCTATAGTTAATCACCTTTTCCTTAATGAAAAAGAGCTTTTGTTAAATTTATTTATTGAGTTATCGCCTTTTAATTAGTTAAATGTGTGCTATTTATACATACATTTCAAGATAGAAGCTTTTCAAACAGATGAGCGAAGCTTATGATATGTGTTTTTATTCAAGTAACTGCCTTTTGAAAAGTAATTTATTTCCTATTTTCTTCCATTTATCTTAGCATTCTAATTAACATATATTTTAAAATTTAGAAAATGTTTAGACATAAGACCACCAATCATAAAACATTTCATAGAACTCTTTAAATAACATATATTTTAGGTGAGATTTTAAAAATACTTACAATGATAAATTAATGGCAATAATATAAACTAAAATAATCCTAATCAGAACACACAGATTGAAACAACTGAGTTAAAGGTCTAATTTTCTTCTGTGATGGTGACCTCATCGCTTTGTAAAATACACGATGCCCATTCAAAGTTAATGTGATATTTTAAGAAAGAAAAAATAATGAAATTAGGGTCCGTGCCTGTGTATATCTGTGCAGGCTAGGACCTCAAGTTTTAGAAGCTCCACAGACCCGCCTTGACTTTGCAATAACAACCAGGGCTTTCCTTGGCTCTGACGTGTAAGTACAGAGTAATAATAGCTCCCCCTCAGGGTTTTAATTAGAGCCAATATACACAATTTTTTTTTTTTTAAATCTAAAGCACTATGTGGGCAGAAACTGTTGTAAGGACTAGGGATGATTACACCACATGCCTACCTTTTCATAACTGTTAGGGACCAACCGCCCCAAAAAGCTTCTCGGTACTGCCGACACTCCCCCCAAACCCCTCTGTACTGCCCACCTCTCCCCTTAATGCCCTGCAACTCTTCTCCGTGCCGTTCACCCTTCCCCCAAGCCTCTTTACATTTCTAAGCCTTATCCAAGCGCTGCAGTGAAGCCAGCAGACTTCACTCATCAGACCTTACTACAATAAGCAAACCGCAATTACAAACCATCCAGACCACACAGAGGGAGGTCGTGGGAAGCATAAATAAACTTTACCTACACCCTCCTGTAAGTTCCTTCATCTAGCTACTGCCATAAACGTCACAAGATAATATATGGCAAAGTTAACCAACAAACAACCCCAGGGTCCCTCTCCCCCATATAAACCCCTCATTTTGTAAGCTCAGGGCTGCCTCTTCTGTCTGTGGTGGAGCAGATGGCAGGTTCAATAAACTTATTCACCTGACTTTGGGTCTATTCATCCTTCTCTAGGCTGACCTTATACTAACAAAAAAATGCTACCAGAGGGCGTTTCATTTTGTGGGATTACACTTGAAAAACAGTTAGCCAATCTCTCTACCCTGCATTTTTATGAGGACTGAGATTTTATAACTGCAGCTATAGTTATCAGTTGACATTGGAACTTCAGGCCATCTGGAAGTAAGAAACCTTTACTGAGTTGCTAAAATCCACCTGAAAACCTATTCGCACATCCTGGGGTTTGACAGCAGTGCAATGATCTAACCCAGAAGCAGCATTTTAAGCATAGCCATTCTTATTCCTTTCATATTTGAAATGCTGATTTTGTTTCTTAGGAAAGACAAAATGAAAATATAAACAACTTGTTATATAATTCCCACTAGTTTACAGAGGACTCTCAGTTTCTACAATTCTCTCCAACCAAAGAGGTAGCAGATAATTTGTAGAGAATTTGTACCATTTTTCATTTGTATCATTTATCATTTGTATCATTTTTCTTAAAATACTTAGCAATACTTTTTTCAGTCATACATATTGTTTTCAAAATTCATGTGGGGTTTTTTGGTGTTTTGAGGTTTGGTTTTGTTTTTTAACTTGTTTGTTTGTTTGAGATAGGGTCTCACTCTGTCACCCAAGCCAGGCTGGAGGGCAGTGGCAGGATCACGGCTCACTGCAGCCTTGACCTCCCAGGCTCAAACAATCCTCCCACCTCAGCTGCCCGAGTAGCTGGGACTACAGGCGCACACCACCCCTCCTGGCTAATTTTTGTATTTTTATTTTAGAAATGTTGTTTTGCCATTTTGCCCAGGCTGGTCTCCAACTCCTGGGCTCAAGCAATCCTTCCACCTCAACCTCCACCATGCTCGGCCTAAGAAGCATTTGGAGGTGTTTACCCATGAGCGAAAGTGATTTGTTTTCTTGTGTTTCTTCTGCTCTTTCATATGGAACCACTCCTTCTCCTCAGTGTTATAAACTGTTGCTTAGAGCAATACTCAGTTGGAGTGGGAGAGCTGAAAGGGACCGCAGTGCGGTCCTATAGCTGAGATGTTTATTTCTTAGCAGCAATCACACATTAGAAAACAACTGTGTCTCCACTTGGGAATCTGGGAAACCTCTCACCATAGGGGAGCACCTGTCAAAAACACACGTGAAAGCTTGCCTCTCTCAGACATCACCTGCGCCTCGAGTTATGATCCTTCTGCACAATGTTAGTGCCCCAGATTGTTTTTAAAGAAAAATAAAATGTGAGGCTTAAAACCCAAAGCATCTTATTCAACGCATCTCATAGGCCTTCAGCAAAACTAATAGCAGATGAGGATTAGTACTCTAGGATTAATAGCATAAATTGGGATTTATGAGTAACTAAGATTATTCTTAAAAGCACCTATAGGTATGACAGAATTGGAGAAGGTGAGCCCTCTGTGAACTAGGGAAAAGGCTGCCCCAGAGCCCTTGTGATGCCTGCTATTATCCAGCACATATAGAAGGAAGCTGGAGCTGGGCAGCGGCGGTTTTTATGTCGCCTCCATCTGCTGCTTTCGAATGATCATTATCAGAAGGTCACTGAATCTCCTTAATGTTCACTGAATACGTATGGTGTTTTTTTTTTTTTTTTCTAAAGAAATGAATATTCTAAAAACTATTGAAGGATCCCCCAAGGTCCACAGGATGAAGAAACCTGACGTTGAAGACCTTTAAAGTCAGGTCCTAGTCTAGCTTTCCAGCCTGATTTAATTTACCACCTCTTCCCCCAAAACACCCTGAGAGCAAGCAGTAGGAAGCCATCTCCTCCTTTTTCCTCAACGCCACACCCTCCTTTGTGTTTCCAAACCTTTGTTATTAATTCTCTTCACTTTTTGAAATGCCTCTCTTTCCTTAACAGGAGAAAAGCCACTTCTGTGATGTCTCTTACTCAGGTTTTTCTACATTAAGATGAGTGTCTAGCACAGTAATATCTCCATATAAGGCTGACTACTTTTTTTTTGAGACGGAGTCTCGCTCTGACGCCCAGGCTGGAGTGCAATGACACGATCTCAGCTCACTGCAAGCTCCACCTCCGGGGTTCACACCATTCTCCTGCCTCAGCCTCCGGAGTAGCTGGGACTACAGGGGCCCACAACCATGCCTGGCTAATTTTTTTTTGTATTTTTAGTAGAGATAGGTTTTCACCATGTTACCCAGGATGGTCTCGATCTCCTGACCTTGTGATCCGCTCCCCTCAGCCTCCCAAAGTAATAGGATTATAGGCATGAGCCACCGCATCCGACCAATCCTGACTTTCAAAGAACAATGCACTCTCCTTGTTTCCCTAAAATTGGTGATAATTTTGTTTCTTTCTTTTTCTTTTTTTTTTTTTTTTTTTTTAGACAGAGTCTTGCTCTGTCGCTCAGGCTGGAGTGCAGTGACGTGATCTCAGCTCACTGCAACCTCCACATGCGGGGTTCAAGCAATTCTCCAGCCTCAGCCTCCAGAGCAGCTGGGATTACAGATGTCTGCCACCACATCTGGCTAATTTTTGTATTTTTAGTAGAGACAGCGTTTCACCATGTTGGCCAGGCTGGTGTCGAACTCCTGACCTCAGGTGATCCTCCCACCTCGGCCTCCAAAAGTGCTGGGATGGTGATAAGTTTCAAAGCACAACTTCTAAAAGTGTGGTTATGACATTTGAAGAAGACAGACTAATAGCTAACGTAATTTTTCTGAAGAATTTATTGGGAGATGGGCCCCCACTTGAGCACAATCGAATCAATCAAATAGTAGAAAAGTACTTAAAGAAAGATGATAATTAAGTGATTCAGTGATTAAGGATTTGGTAAAAGACATCTAGGGTCTTATTTCCTGTTTGTTTTCAAATGATGAGTTGTTTAGAGAATGACAGCTAAGATCACTCTCCGGTTGTTTTAAACAAATTGACTCGTGACTTGAAAGAGAAGAGAACTAGGTTATCCTGTTCGCCTCCTGAGGTGTGGAGTGGGGCTTGGGAAACTTCAGCGTGAGTAAAAGTCGGCAAATTTTGTCTGCAGAATGCTCCCTGTAACTGTCTGTGACAAATGAGGAAATTTAGAGAATAACGCTCATGTTGTGTTGATTTAGACATGTGCCACTTAAAGATGGGGACAGGCTGGGAGAAATGCATCTTTAGGGGATCATGTCATCATGCAAAGATAACAGCATGCACTTCTGAGGGAGGCCACTCTCACCAATGCAGGCCTCCATAACAACTGTTTCCATACTAACGGAGTGTTTCAGTTACATATTAAAAGCTGAAAGAGCCAGCGCCTTTATACAAAGCCTGGAACGGAGTGTTTCCGTTAAATATTAAAAGCTGTAAGAGCCAGCGCCTTTATACAAAGCCTGGAAGGTAACAAAGAGTTTTCCCTAGGCTTCTCCTGGGCCTTGAAGCATGACAAGATAACAAAAGAATTCTTAACAGGAGGACCCTTTTAGAATTCAACGAGTTTTATTAGCGGTCTGAAGAAACTCCCCAGGCCTCCACAAACAAGTTTATTGGGGTCTAAAGGAGCTCCCCAAACCTTTGTGATTTAGCGGGAGACAAAACAAGACTAATCACCCCAGCACCTGGACCCATTTAGATTCAGTAAACTTACTGAGGCTCCAGAGGAAGGTCTTCAGCACTCAGACCTTAGCTGTAGATTTTAAAAAGTTAATCACTTATGTCTTTAAATAAATACACACTTACACATAGACATATAGCTAAGGAGGTACATAAGCTCTAAAAAACTTTGTAATTTTGAGTTGGTCTGGCGATAATTTCCAGGCCTTCTCCCTGTAACCAGTTATAGAAATAAAAACTCTCTTCCTCCTCAGTTTATCTGCATCTCGTTATTGGGACATGAAAAATAGCAGCCCCACCTTCAGTTTGGTCCAGGAACACTTAAACACACCCAGATGGTACAGCCTGCTACACAATTAAGCCATATGGTGTAGCCTATTGCTCCCAAACCACACACCTGCACAGTATGAGACTGTACTGAAGACTGTAGGCAACTGGAACACAAGGGTAAGCATTCTCACATCTGAACTCATCTCAACATTGAAAAGGTAATGCGTGGCCCCGTAGTACTGCAACTGCTAGACGTCACTCGGTGGTAGGAATTTTCAGCTTCATTATAATCTTACAGGACCACATTTATCTACACGGTCTGTCACGGTTCAAAACGTCATGCAGTGCGTGATTATTCTCTGCTCTTGGCTTGTCATGAATTAAACGTCATTTAAATAAGAACTTGGTTCATCTGGAGAGGACACCCTAATCAAATTCCTTTTTTTTTTAAAAAAAAAAAATGATGTAGTTTTGCTCTTGTTGCCCAGGCTGGAGTGCAATGGCACAATCTTGGCTCACTGCAACCTCTGCCTCCCAGGTTCCAGTGATTCTCCTGCCTCAGCCTCCCAAGTAGCTGGGATTACAGGCACGTGCCACCACACGCAGCTAATTTTGTATTTTCAGTAGACACGGGGTTTCTTCATGTTGGTCACGGTGGTCTTGAACTCCTAACCTCAGGTGATCTGCCCACCTCGGCCTCCCAAAGTTCTGGGATTACAGGCATGAGCCACTGTCCCTGACCAAAATTCCCTGTTTTTAGAGCAGCACATTTGATACATACGTATGCCTTTCTTCTCTTCTCAGCTAAGATCACCTTTAGTTAAAGTCTTCTATTCTGAGAAACTTGAGGCTTTGTTTGTTGGGATTAAAATGTACCTTAAAAATGTGAAGGTTTGCCTGGGTTCATTTCCATATAGAATGGCAGAAGATGAACACTTTTTATATCCCCCCACCTTGAGGAAAGAATCCATAAATAGACCATTGTTGCTCCTGGAAGATGGCACAGACGTTGGCTTTCTTCTAAGAAGACAGTGACTTGGATCTCCTGACTTTGCACCCAATGCAATCCCCACTTCTAAGTAAGGCAACCTAGAGGCACAGATTTTGATGACTTCCACAGCCTACGGTCTGCTTAGCGTTTAAACAGACGAGCAGGCCAAGGGTCTGGCCCTCTGCTCAGGTAGCGGTTTCCTGTAATCAATAGTTCTCATGTAGATACAACTTCAATGTTAATATTTTTTCAAAAAAAAAATCTAAGTTATTATGGATATCTGATAATAATTCATTCCAAAATGTATGCCAATTTTTCTTCAGATGTAGAAGACTGTTTCTCTCTTTCAGGGTGCCTGGAATCCTGCCTCATTCCAGAATGAGAATGCACAAAGTTATCAGACTTTTTTTTTTCTTTTCTTTTTTTTTTTTTTTGAGACAGAGTTTTGCTGTGTCTCCCAGGCTGGAGAGCAATGGCAAGATCTCGGCTCACTGCAACCTCCACCTCCTGGGTTCAAGCAATTCTCCTGACTCAGCCACCTGAGTAGCTGGCATTACAGGCATGCGCCACCACGCCCAGTTAATTTTGTATTTTCAGTAGAGACAGGTTTCTCCCTGTTGGTCAGGCTGGTCTCGACCTCCCAGCCTCAGGTGATCCACCCACCTCGGCCTCACAGAATGCTGGGATTACAGGCGTGCGCCACCGCGCCCGGCCAGTTATCAGACCTTTGAAGAGGATCCATGCACAGGTGTGAGCATCTGCAAAACCACTGCGAAGTCGATACTTTTGCAAAGAAAACTTCCATTTACAGGGAAGGCAGTTAACATTATAAAACACTCAAAAAGATAAATTCATTTAATACTCGGTGAGTCTTTACAACAATCTCAAAAATAAAGCGGATAAATCATCCTCTGTGTGCACAGTGCAGGGAAGAGTGACTTGCTCAAAGCTGCCTGATGGGGTGACTCTGGCTCCGGGTCCTGTCTTCCTAAATCGTGGGCCCTTATAGCTGTGTCACTCACCCTAAGGAATGACAATAGTTGGATTCCTTGAAAGAGCCACAATGCTCAAAAGCACTACATCTGCACTTCACTATGATTTTGAAGTCATAAAAACTATTCTAATTAGGAAAGCTTTTGGATAGGTGAACTAATGATGTTTCGACTTACTTGAGCATTTGAGCTTATGTAAAGTTTTTCAAGCCTTTTTCATTCAATGATACTTGAAAGTGGTGTCTATTAATATTTTAAAAGTAATCTACTTGTCTTCTAATAGATTAAATCAACAGATTCAGCCTCAGTATCTTGTTCTATTATTGTATATTGTCTATACTCTTGCACATGGTCTACATATGTTAAACATATGTGAGAAAAACTTGAGATGTGCATGTTTCATTTTTTATAAATTTACATCAAAATATTAAACACCAGCTAATTATATGCATGCTGAGGTATTTATAGCAAAACGAAATGATATTCAAAATTTGCCTTGAAATGCATCAAAAATATAGCGTAGCTTAATAAATGGCTAGAAAGATAACAGATAGGCATGTGATAAAGGAAATACTTTGTAAGTTTTCATAGCGGAAGCTAGGTGGTATATATTCAGGTGTTACATTATTCAGGTATTAAAATTATTTCAACTTTGCCATGTTTGAACATTTACATGATAAATTGCTGTGAGAAACATGATTTCTTATTTGATATGGCCTTGGTTTATTTTCTAGGACTAGATAAAAGAAAAAGCATCATTAGATATTTCTGTTAGCATGTTAGTTTCATTGCAATGGGATCAGAGCACAGATTAAGTGCAGGCTGGGTACAGTGGCTCATGCCTGCAATCCTAGCAATCTGGGAAGCTGAGGCAGGTAGATAGCTCGAGTCCAGAAGTTCAAGACCAGCCTGGGTAACATGTTGAAAACCCATTTCTACAAAAAAAAAAAAAAAAATCCAAAAATTAGCCAGGCATGGTGGTGCATGCATGTAGTCCCAGTTACTCAGGAGGCTGAGGCAGGAGGATCACCTGAGACCAGGGAGGTTGAGGCTGTGGTGAGCCATGATTGCACCACTGTACTCCCACCTGGGTGACAGAGTAAGACCCTATCTCCAAGATAAATAAATAAATAATAAACAAATAAATAAGTTCACATCTATACAAAGAAATGCAGACCAATACAAACAATACAATTTTCCATGTTGAATAAGTTTATGTAGTTTTAGTATCGAACAGTGCATACCTTCACATGTTGGGAGAGAACCCTCAAACTGCAACTGGGAACTGAGCTTGCAAGTCAGAATGTCGGTCCCCACCAAGGTGTACCCGGGGTGGCACTGGTACTTCACAAAATCTCCTAGAAGAGTCAATGCAACAAACCAGGAAATTGTGTGTGACCTTCTGAGTGTGTGAAGGTGTGACACATGTAGGACTACTTAAATGAATTAAATCAACTTGCAAATCTTTTTAGAAACTATGTCTGTATTTATTTTTAGTCTTTTAAAAATAATACCGTTTTAAGTTCTTAATTTATAAAAATGCTCTATTAAGCTTAGCCGATATTAGTACTGAAATGATGTGGCAGCTTTTCTTCCTTGACTGAGGCATCCGTGTTGGTTTCCCTTCCCCAGTGATTGCTGACGAAAAGAAAAAAAAAGTAAAGTAGAAGCTATGGTTTAAGCAAGACTGTAAAATCAAATGGCTTTACAGCATCCACAGAGACTCATCTCTGACCTTGGTACTTAGCACAATGTTCCAATTAACTAAGCCAGGGTGAGGACAGCAGAAATTGGGTCACGTAGTTTGACCAGTGGTCTGAAACACAGGGCAGAGTTTTATAACTGGGGCTGAAAAATCCTGGGTTGCAATAACTATACCATAAACATATGCCATCACTGCTTTCTCAGTATGACCAGAAGAGTATTGAATAAATTAGATCATTAATGTAAAAAGATACAGCAGAAATCCTAAATATCATCACTAAATATTTTCTCTTATTATATCCCAGTTTCAATGAAATGTCACTGTTATGTAATCATCCTTTCAGCCGCAAATGATTCAGATTTTTCTCAAGTGCATGAATGTGTCCCCCTAACTGAAAGCAAATATCTGCCCAAGTCTGTCTCTGAATACTTTATTAAAAACTATGAACTACCAAATGTTGTAGAGGAAAAAAATGTTCAAACTGACATCAAAATTCAAATGGCAAAACAAAAAAAAATCATGGTAATGAAGAGGGACAGACATTTTCTATTTGATACATGACCTCCGTATAAGTTCTCAGCAATACTTTAAGGATAGTTTGTTCTTTGTTTCTGTTTTTGTTTCTCTGACAAATTACTCATTAACTTGTCTGAGTAATGATTACAATGAGAAGTGGGTGTAAAAAAATGTCGTGCTGAATTCATGGTATTGTAATGAAGAAAGTATTACCTATTTCGAAATCATCATCCTCAGTAAGCATTTCTGCCTGTGGAACCGCTGGGGGAGGTTGACATTTCTTGAGCTGAAATGCTAAATGATTAATGGAAAGAATAATAATAATTGCAATTACACTTGCTGAATAAACACAACTATTACAAAACATTCATCTTGCAGTTGTTATAATGCTTAAGTACACGGACTGAAATGTCTCTATTCCTGAATCATAGCTTTATAAAATTCCCAAGCTTCAAATGTTCATATTATTATTTAGTGCCAAAAAACAGTTAAAGCCCAAGGAAAAAAGTGTACAATTATTTTTTAAAGTATACCATTTAAATAAACACACTTTACAGATGTTTGGAATTCTGCAAGAATGACTCAACAGTCACAACCTGGCTCCCTGTCCATGTGCAGATTTGATAACGTCTGCCCTGTCCCGTGTCCTGAGGAATTCTGTAGGTGGCAGTGTTCGTGAGAGATAAGCGATTGATTGACAGATGTTCTACATATCGTTTAGAGTGCATTCCCAGGATTATTGGAGGTTTGCTTTCACACCATTTATAGTTACATGACATTTGCTATAACACCTTATCTTGAGACAGGGATGAGTAAATCTATAAAAGGTACCAAATCTCTTTCAATGGTCTTCATCTTAGAGTTTCACTTAGGATACATGTATCTTGGAATAAATCCAAGCTGGATACGATGTGAAATAATAAAGACATCATTAAACAAAAAAAGGACCACAGGAAACGCTGGCCTCCAGTGCAAAAGAATCATACACGCCCTCGGCTGAATCAAGAAACTTCAGCTGGAAACAAGGCGTGGGACAACACTGCAGGAAACACCACATGGAATTCTCAGTCTTAACTAACGGAGTGAAAATCAACTGACCGTGGAAATTGAGGACAAAGAAGCCTCCATTTGAAAAGTCGCTGTGGAACTTGAGCAGGACTTGGTTGGTGGAGCTATACGCCGTTTCGAGGGCTGTGTTGCCACTGAAAACTCCCAGCTGGGGTGAGTTCTGATCGGGACCGTCCCTAGGAAAGACAGAAAGAGGTGGCTGGCTAAGGATATTTACTTCTGAGTGAGATTTATGGAAACTTTGGCTAATGAATTAATTTTTTTAATAAAAGCAATAAAACATATGCATTCTCAGGATACTGTGTTTGTAAACATCAAGATGTTGAATGTCCACAAAGTTGAGGAACCCTCCAGTCTCTGTCTTTCATTAATGTTCCACAGGCACTCGGCACTTGTCAAATGTCAACACTCACCGGTGCTGGTGGCTCATGCCTGTCATCCCAGCACTTTGGGAGGCCAAGGCAGGCAGATCACCTGAGGTCAGGAGTTTGAGACCAGCCTGGCCAACATGGTGAAACCCTGTCTCTACTAAAATTACAAAAATTAGCTGGGCCTGGTGGCACGCACTTGTAGTCCCAGCTACTCGGCAGGCTAAGGCAGGAGAATTGCTTGAACCCAGGAGGCGCTGGTTCCAGTGAGCCAAGATCGCGCCACTGCACTCCAGCTGTGCGACAGGGCAAGACTCTGTCTCAAAAAGAAATAAATTAAAAAAATAAAATAAAAATGTCAACACCTGTGAGATTTTCCATTCTAAATATGGAGCTTAATCTATGGGGCATGGCCAACCACAGAATGCTGTTTTGTTTTGGTTTTAAAACGGCAGTTTCATTGTGGTCAACCTAATATTTCAAATTCTGTTTCTCCTCACTCTCACATCCACTGACTCTGGTCGTTGTCATCTTAGATGTCTGATTTACTTCCACAACCTCAAAGCCAGTCTCCTTTCTTGCCCTCTGCTACTTTATTTCCCACAAAATGAGCCCGTCATTCTGCAGCCCATATCTGGCCTTGGAGCTCTGCCTGTCAGAGCCCAGGTGCATCCTCACTGCCCCAAGAACAAAGCCCAAGGCCTTCACATGCATTTCCAGGTCCTGCCTTACTTGCCCTGGCTGCTGGCTTCTGCTCCTGCTCCCCCTGTGGGCTCCAACAAGAGTGCAGCCACACCACACACAACACGCACACACACACACAACATACACAACACACACACAGACACCACACACACAAACACACACGTAAGCCACACAGACATACACAAGCCACACACACCACACAGACACACCCACAGAGACACACATCACACACCCATACCCAACCCAACCCACACCCACAAACACACATCCAATACATACACACACAGATGCAGACACACAGACATAATTCTGCCTATTTCTACCATGTAGCAAAACCCACATGTACTATGTGAAATTGATTCCCTATATCTCTGGATTTCGTTGGTGAATTTCTTCTCTAGTATCTAAGAAGTTTATTCTAAATATGTGCCTTGTATATAAGTGGCATATGTATGCTAAGTCAGAATTGTTGATCACAATTACAGATATTTTGACTTGAGAGGTTCTCATACCAAACAGCAATGTAATCGTTGACAGCTTCCGTCTGTAACAGGGTGAAGTTGATGTAAACTCCGTGCCCTGGAGGCACCGTGATGAGCCAAATGCAGTCCTTCAGGATCGGATACTCATCAGGAAAGCCAGGGGAGTAGATGGTGCCGTTCTGAGAAGTTACGTTGTACCCACAAGGGGCTGCAAAGGAAACCAAGAAAAAACAAGCGCCATACAGCTGATTTTAGAGAGTAGAAAGCTAAATATTTGACTCCAAAGTACCTTAGCCAACATTTTTCCTGATGGGAAATAGGTGTGAAATATTTCTGAATCACCATTTTGTCAAAATTACTGCCCTAAAATCTGAAGACCTTAGAAGAATTATACGTCTAAGCTAAATTATCTCAGTTTTATTTAATATATTCTCCATATCTTCAAAATCCCTTTAGGATAAATTTATTCTTCTATGCCTCAAATAAAATCCTTAGTTAACACTTGTGACCTGCTGATAACCCATCTGAGTGTCCAGCACAATGAATTATGGGGAAAGTATTCATAAATATGTAACTGCTTTTTCTAACTCACACTGCTAGACCCTATTTATAAGCCATCTGAAAGAGTGTCATCTAAGTCTACTTGCCTTAAAACAAAGACATTATCAATTCTTTACAGATCTATACCTGAAGAAGTAAGATAATGCAATGTAAGATTATGTAAGTGGTGTTTTGCGGAAGCATTTCCAGTTTTTACTAGTGTTCAATGACTTGAAGAACTAAAACAATACCCAATTTATTTTCATTTTTGTTAAGAAATTTATATTTATTATTTTAATGGCAATTATTTTATTTATGGAAAATGACATGTCCAAACACTAATGGAATAACCTGAAATATAGTCTTTAATTTAAATATTCATATAGTGCATCAAAGTCATAAAACTTTGAACTCTGAAATCAAACCAACAGCTAAGAGGTGTGAGATGAGTGTTCACAACTCTCTTGAACCTCGAAGGGCTGTCAAAGATTTGCCACAAATGGTATAGAATTCAGGTAGAGGAAAAAGGCCCAAATACACAAACAGATAAACAAAAAGAAAAGTTTAGTAACAAATGAGAATATACCATGAGGCGGGATATGATACACTGTTGAACTGCACAGATGTGTATTGATTTGAAAAGAACATTGGATTGAACCTGGCTGGAGATTTGGATCTTTTCATCAGAAGAAGGGACTGTATGTAGAGACTACTTTAGAAGTTTTACTGCGTAATTATTACTAAGTGAGGTTTGGAGTCAGACAAACCTGGATTTGTAAGCTGGAGAAGCAAATTATCCCTGGGAGCCTCCACTTCTATAAATTCTATGAGGTCAGGGTCTGCGATACTCCTGAAGCTTGTCATCTCTAAAATGGGACCATAGGCTGGGCACGGTGGCTCACTTCTGTAATCCCAGCACTTTGGGAGACTGAGGTGGGTGGATCACCTGAGGTCAGGAGTTTGAGACCAGCCTGACCAACATGGGGAAACCCTAACTCTACTAAAAATACAAAAATCAGCCAGGCGTGGTGGTGCACGCCTGTAATCCCAAGTACTTGGGGGGTTGAGGCAGGAGAATTGCTTCAATCTGGGAGGCAGAGGGTGTAGTAAGCCGAGATTGTGCCATTGCACTCCAGCATGGGTGACAGAGTCTCTGTCTCTAAAAATAATAATAATAATAATGGGACCATAAACCATGCTGTCCCCATAACAAGCTACTTTTGTCTCCTGTTGGCAGTGCACTTTTCCTCCCCTCCAGACGTCGAGGGAGTGTTCACATGCTTTTCTTCTATTTTTCTGCCAAGGCAAACTTGTCTCTTCCTTTAAAACTCAACTCCTTGTCACCGCTTCCTTAAGGTCTTTCCTGCTTGCTCCGGCTCTAGAGGTCCAGGCTCTGCTCACAGAGCACACGGCTCCCACGAGACTGTCAGCCTCTAGCAGACAGGGTCTGCATCTCCTCCCACCCCAGCTGCTACCTCCTTTCAAGAGTCCCTACTGTCTAGCTCAGGTCATGATAAACAAATTGATAAATTGGTGAATTAGAGAATAACCAGAGAGCACTTTAAGAGTGAACTCATGAAACCAATTAGGCTGAAACCCTTTACAGGTGACTCCGTGCTAGTAATTTAGTGTGGACTTACAATGCTAAGGTTTCCCTTTTGCATTTCTGCTTTTCTAGTTGAATCTTGTAGTTACATAACCACATTATATATAGTAGCACCCTTCCTGTTGGGAAAACAAAACAAAAAGCCATCGTTCCCACCTCTTAAAGGGCAAAAGAAATGAGGTGGTGATTTTCTTGGTAGAACACATTCCTGATTCCAGTATTATTTATGCCACTGAATACCTCTATAACATTGAGCAAGTCAGTGATTCTTGCCATGATTTATCTATCAAATTCAAATAACAAATCTTTTCACTCACTCACTCAACAAGTATCTACTGAGAGTGGGTTATGTACCAGTAAGGGTGCCTGGGATGGAGATGCCATAGTGAACCGTAGAGACCCTGTTGCTGCCTTTGTAAAAAGCTTATTGAATAGTGATGAAGAGAGATATTAAGCAAACACTACAGAAGTTTAAAATTCAACGGGTGCAAGTGCTGTGAAGGAAAATAACAGACGCTCATCATCACATAAGATAACAATATTCTATCCATAAGCACACAAAATTCTCTCAAAGCAAAATCCTGTTGCCCTCCCACTGGGTAGTCCAGAGATAGAAAAAAAGAGGACCCTAAGAATCTGGAGTCAAAATTTCCTCTCTCATTTCCCCTGGCCTGATCTTTATCTACTTCCAGACCGTCTTTATCCTCGCTGCAGTGGCATCAAAGGCACGTTTGCATTTCCCCAAGTGGTGGCGTCTCACTGAGCTCCGCAGAGACGGGGGCCTGTGATCTGCCACTGCAGGAAGTGTGCGTGTCTCGGCAGGAAGCGTATCCCCCCTGCCTTCCTTTCCCTGAAGGCGGGGTTCAAAGTGGAGTCTGGACTGAGATCAAAGAGGAAGCTCTGCGTGGAGCACAGCAGGTACCTCCCAGCTCCTCACCTGTCTGCCTGGGAGACACTGGTCCAAGCCGGACCAGGAAGACAGACAGCTGACCATGGCATCAGCAACTGAAAGGGATAGAGAGGCTACACTCCCTCCACTCTCAGGAGCCATGGAGTAAAGAGACGCGCAGGCATTTCCGTGCTCATGAATACCCGGATGTTCACGTGGGAGAGAGCGTTGCTGGGCAAGACAGTGAAGGAGGGAATTGCTCAAGCTATTTGCTCATGTATTTTTCCAAGAATAAGCACATAAAGATAAGAAAGCTACATATTTTGATCCGATTCTAGAGCTAGCAGTCGCTGTGTTGAAAGTGATGGCGGTGATGTCTAACTTGAATGTCACGCCCAATGGGAAACATGCCCAGGTACCCTGGCGCCACTGGCTTCCCCCACAACGCCACTCTCTATCATTGCCTCAAATACCACGGAGGCTTCCCTTCGTTCATTGACATCCCTGAGAAGTGGGAAGGGGGTACTTTTGGTGATTCACACACACAAAAGTTATGGGTATATGTGACTGACTCCTGCTCAGGTGTGAAGCCACAGCTCGAAGATACCAGAAAATCAACTGGGGGGTTGGCACACCTTGGCACAGGAGGGCGGAGGTACAAGGAAACATCTCTTTATTGTGCTACCTTTTCCTCTCTTTATGCAATGTGACTTTCTGTGAAGAGAGATGGATAGGCATATTAAGTGATATTACATCAAATTAAAATTAAAACAGGCTGGCTGTTATGGCTCATAGCTGTAATTCCAGCACTTTGGTAGGCTTAGGGAGGAGGATCATTTGACCCCAGGAGTTCGAGACTAGTCTGGGCAATACAGGGAGATCCCATCTATTAAAACAAACAAACAAACAAACAAACAAACAAAAAACATTAATTATCCATGCATGCGAGCACATGCCTGTGGTCCTAGCCACTTGGGAGGCTGAAGTAGGAGGATTGCTTGAGCCTGGCAGGTCAAGGCTACAGTGAGCAGTGATTGCACCACTGCACTCCAGCCTGGGCAACAGCCTGAGACTCCATCTCAAATAAATAAATAAAGTGAAAACAAAATAATTTAAATTTTAAAACCTTGAACGTTTGCTAAGAGACTTATCATTTATAGATGGTTTTCTCTAGTATTATGTTAAGTTTTTTGCCTAAACAAGAATATGAAAGAAATTCCATATTAAAAAGCTAATAAATACACTTGGCATAAATATGAATATAAAAATATAATAAATATGTTATAATATATATATTAATATAAAAATATCTTGACTCTCAATATATCGAAGATACTGAAAGTTTAATCTCCCCTAGTGTGTAGAGAACCAGAGTTATTCCTGCCATCATTTTTCTTCCTTCTGTTACTCTGGTTTCCTTAGAAGCATTTTCAGAGAAGAATCCAGAGCGCACTCTGTCTTGGAAATTGCCGGTTGGTAATGGAGATTTTAAAGACTGTATTTGTGAATGCAGGTAAGAAAAATAAGGAGACAGAGTTGCATTCTTTATAGTTATTTTTATTCTCTATTATTGGGAAAGATTATTTTCTGTATTTACCAATCAGCTTGGTAAACCTTAAATTTAAAAAATATGTATGTAATAATACATTGTTTAGCTGCTTGCATTTCTCATGTCAATTTTGCAATAAAATTGTTTTCTGCTTACAAAATCTGTCAAATTCAAAGAAGCTGTTAACATACCTATCACAACATATTATTTACACTAATAATTATCTCTGTCTGTGCAATTCCCCACTCTACACATACTAATGCATTTAAGTCAAGTTTATTATGATAGTGTTTAAGATTTATTTAATGCCTAAAATTATATTTTTATGCATAAACATTTCAGTGTTAAATGATTAATTAGGTCAGCAAAATATTTTAAATTGTTGAACTATATTTGTAAGTGTGAATGCATATTTAATTAGAAAATTACATTTAATAAGTTAATAAACCAAATTCTACTTAATCATATTTTAACAATTACAATCCCCCCCCCCCCTTTTTTTTTTTTGAGATGGAGTTTTGCTCTTGTCACCCAGGCTGGAGTGCAATGGCGCTATCTTGGCTCACTGCAACCTCCGCCTTCTGCGTTCAAGTGATTCTCCTGCCTCAGCCTCCCAGGTAGCTGGGATTACAGGTGCCTGCCACCACGCCTGGCTAAGTTTTGTATTTTTAGTAGAGTTGGGGTTTTGCCATGTTGGCCAGGCTTGTCTCAAACTCCTGACCTCAGGTGATCCACCCACCTCGGTCTCCCAAAGTGTTGGGATTACAGGCGTGAGCCACTGTGCCCGGCCTAAAACCCCCACCTTTTTTTAATTTTTTAACTGAGACTTCTGTGTAATTATGTTACTGACAGAAAAATAATGTCTTCAATTTCTCAGATAACTTTCAGAGACATATTCTTTCATTTGTTTACTTTCATAGATATCATAATTTCAGATCACAGTTTTTCAGATAAATTTATACTATATTAATTTCATAAAGTAGATTCTTATGCAGCTTAACATGTATTTTCAGTATATAAATACAAATTGATTTCATATATACTTGTGAAGACTGATGCCTTGGGATTTAGAATTATTTTATTAATTATCTAAACTGGCCAATTTTTAATAAAGACATCGAGAAGTTGTTTAAAGTATCTGTGTTTTTTCTGAAGTTCTTTTCAAGTCTACAGGGCTGGACCTTTGAAGATGGTTTTTCAGTACACTTGACCTATATAGCAATCACTGACCTGAAATGATAAACCACTGTCAATTAATAAAATACATGTTACATGAAGATACTGGGTTGTCAGCAGTGTTTACCGCTGTCTCTGGGAAAGACTGAAGTGCCATATAACTGTAACTAATAGGCGTTTGAACAGCCTCCGCATTCTTATGAAGCAACGACTTTTTTAAGAAATATAAACTTTCACAAGTAAAGCACCTTTTGCGTTAAATAACACCTTTTTTAATATGAAAAGGATATTAAACACACATTGGATGGTTCTTAGAAAATCCTTTATATAGGTCCTCTAATTGTTTTCAATATTTATGATAAACTTTTACATGAATCGTGCGTTTCGGTTTCTTTATTAGGTTTACGAGTACTGGTAAAAATAGAAATATAATAGTAAAAATGTTTGTTTAGTAAAGAACTTGGCATGGATCAGAGAGATATGTGGCATCCTCCTGGACTCTGCCACATGTGTCTTTTCCCTGGAATATATTGACATATCCCCTCCCTGTTAAAACCATAATGACAAGCATGATAGTTTTAGAGATGTCTCTGAGTTCTTCTAATGGAGAATGAAGCCTCAGGCTGGTTTTGGGAGTCTGAAGGGGTTTAGGCTTTAAATTCATGCAGAGTTTAGCTAATTCTAGATGGTGTTATATACCATGTTAGAATTAGGAAAGGTGGCAGGCATCACTTTAAATTCTATCAAAAAAGGTAGATTTTGTTATTTTCACACTGACAAAATAATTCGAAGCCAGAGCAGTTATTTCCATATTGAAAAACAAAGCTTGAGAAAGCAATAAAATCAAATTAAATATTTAATTGTAGTTTTTTTTAAATATCAAGCCAGAGTCTACCATTTACATATGAATTCAAAGTCTTCACACCAAACTTGCAAATAAGAAGAGGTTTCAATCCTGATAATTTCAAAAGAATTTATACATATATATGAGTTTCTAGAACGGAAAGTAGACTTAAAGATTTAAAAAATGTTTTAATGAAAAACAGCCCAGATAGGTTACTGCTATCCTTATTTTATAAAATTAATTTTAAGTGCTATTTTATATGTAATTAAATAAATATTAGATTAAGATAAAATACTTTTAAAATGTGGCTAAAGAATTGTTTGTAGTTATTTTTTATTTTATTTATTTATTTATTTTGAGACAGAGTCTCACTCTCTCGCCCAGGCTGGAGGGCAGTGGCACGATCTCAGGGCACTGCAACCTCAGCCTCCTGGGTTCCCGCCATTCTCCCACCTCAGCCTCTGGAGTAGCTGGGACTACAGGTGCCCACCACCACGCCCAGCTAATTTTTTTGTATTTTTAGTAGAGACGGTGTTTCACCGTGTTAGCCAGGATGGTCTTGATCTCCTGATCTTGTGATCCGCCCACCTCAGCCTCCCAAAGTGTGTTTGTAGTTATTTTTATAATAATACAGAATAGGTAAATACAGATAAAAACTGTGATTTTAAAAGCCTACTGATATGCTTCTTTTACTTCTTCAGTAGAAATTAAAGCACAGCCAGATGTCTTCCCCTTTTCCCCACAGGATACAAGTGCTTAGCATTTCAAAGGTCCACGGAGTTGGTAATTTCATTATTTTTTCATTCAAAGGTCCTGTATGTATAGTGTGAGAATATCGGGTTTACAGTAAATTTTCTATTGCATATGCATTCTTCCTACACATAGTATGGATCTATTTATTTTAATTAGATATTGAAAAAATGTCAAAGTCATCATAAAAATGAGGCAGTCACACAGAAGCATTAAAGTAAGGATTCCTGCTCAGAAAAAGGACGTCTAAAGAGACCAGGTCCTCTGTTGCACCATCAAACGAGAACTTGCCTCCAGCCTCTCCGTAGAGCCCCTCTTGCACTATTAAACCACTCTACTATTTTCTCCTATGGCTACCTGTACACTGCGCTCTTTCTTACACTGTTTCTTCTACCTGGAGTGTTCCACCTCCGAGTAGCAAAATGCTATGTACCTTTCAAGGCCCACTACAAAAATGAGCTCATTTTTCTGAAATGCAAAATCAATATGAAATTATTATAAAAGCTAAACAAAAAGAAACACCAAGGATCAAATTAATAAGTACCCTTTTTCCCTCTGGTCCTACAATCTGATATAACCACTGTAAAGCTGAACGCTGCTGACTTCGCGGAGATTTCCCTGATGGCTTCCCAAGCCTGTGCCATCTCCTTCCCTGCAGCTCAGTATACCATTCCTCTTGTGTTTACTATTTTGCCATCCTTATAATTTCCTTGGCAACAAGGATTGTTTCTTTACTTCTAACTTAACAGCATGCGACATATTCCTTAAATACTAAGTGGAGTGAGTAAAACATAATAGATTCTCAACGAATATTTATTGAATACATTAATAAATTACTGGATATGTTCATTTAATATTTAATGTGCTATTATGCCCATGAAACATTAAATCGCCCCCATGCAAAGTGATGAACTTACCATCACATCTTGGAAAAGGGTAGTTCCAGTTTCTGTTGATCCCATGCTGACAAGTGAGGACAGGATGGCCTATTAGAATGTACCCAGGATAACACTCGAAAGATACTGATTGCCCCACGCTGTAATCCGAGTTGATCATGTACCCATTCTGAAATGGGGGTGGATCTGGACAGTTCTGTAATTCATAGGCTGAAAGAAACAAACAGACAAAATAAAGCTTATATTTGTGAGGTTAAATTACTTCGGAATTTGCAGGAGTGTCATCACATGTGACTGCTTGAGATGAAGTTGTTGGATAAGTTTAATAAGGTATATTTTCTAAGTAGTCAGTTGCCATCCAGACCAATATAATTATTATTAGTAGTAGTAGAATCATAACCATATGCATTTAATAAATAGTGTGTACTTTAAAAGGAAAGTAGCACATACCAAAAGTAAATTTTATAATGCTTACCTTGGAAAAAAGGCATATGATGTAAATTATTTAAGAAAGTAATACAGGCTGGGAGCGGTGGCTCACGCCTGTAATCCCAGCACTCTGGGAGGCCGAGGCGGGAGGATCACGAGGTCAGGAGATCAAGACCATCCTGGCTAACACAGTAAAATCCTGTCTCTACTAAAAATACAAAAAGTTAGCCTGGCGTGGTGGCGGGCGCCTGTAGTCCCAGCTACTCAGGAGGCTGAGGCGGGAGAATGGCGTGAACCTGGGAGGTGAAGTTTGCAGTGAGCCGAGATCTTGCCACTGCGCTCCAGCCCGGGCGACAGAGCAAGACTCTGTCCCCCGCCCCAAAAAAAAGGAAATGCAAGTAATAATAAAAGGAGCCTACAAAAAATGTTGGGTGAACATATACCTAATAATTCCCTTTTATTTTAAATAGGAAATATACTACCAGTCTGAGTACTCCTAACTGGAAAATATGTCGTTATTTGGTTTAACTATACAAATATAACAGGAAAATCCATTGCAGTTTTTTTAGTCTTTTTCTAAAAAAAAAAAAAAAAAAAAAAAAAAAACACTGTATAATCCCTAAGCTGACAACTACTATCAGTACAATTTTTTATAACATGATTTATTGTGCTTTATCATTCAGTCTTTATGTTCCCTAGAATAAACTCCAGGTAAGACAAGAGATAATAAATGTTTGCAGTCTGTGTGGTTTAAACATTTACTCATTAATGAGTAAGAATTAACTAATCCATAAATCAGGTATCATCTGATACTGTAATTTTAAAGCTAAATGAGCCTCTCGCCCACTCTGGGAAGAGGGCGTGAGTACTCAATGCAGTAGAAGCCCTCTCTAGCATCTTTGAATATTTAGGCACACCTTTGTCCATAAAGGCAGTTCCCATGAGACTGGGAACCTGCTCCTAATGCAGCAGCAAAGCCACACCATGCAGCACCAGTTCTGGGGGAACCTCCGCCCTGCCATGTAATTCTGCTGAAACCAACCCTCAGCGCCAGGCAACACAATGAGTTTCAAAATAGCATGAGGTCACCGGTCACTGTCCTCACAATCAACTGAAAATCAAGTCATAAAATAAAGTCTCCGAGCTTCTGCAGAGGGGCCTTTTCTGTGGAGAATGAAGTGAAATGGAAATTTCAATTTTATGTGTAAATTCCTTAACCATTGACAATATTGGAGTGAGCCTGTAGTTTGGAAACTTGTAAACAAATGCTGGAAAAGGAAACAGTATATTATTATGACAGGTGTTTCCCAGAATTCTAGACTTTTTTGTTTCTGTGTTCAGGACCTGAGAAAAAGAGAGGTGGGCCAGAAAGAAGATAGGACAGGGCAGAGGGGCCAGCAGACAGGGGATGGGAACACAAAGAGCTTGATGCGGGATTACTCAGGGATTAGATTTAAGAGGCAGCTAAGGCTCAGAATATGAATCAGTCTGTGTTTTATATTAAAGCAATTGGACATCAACATAAAGATAATGTGAGAACATATGGAAGACAGCAACCAGGCAACGCAATATGTGGGCCTACAGCGTGGCCTTGGCGTTCACAAGATTAATGTAAGTGCTGTTTGGAGTTTGTCTTCATTAACATTTGCCAAATGTTAAGCATTCCATAGAGCCATGAGGTTTCGTTATTATCCATAGCTTTCTCCTATTTAATAAACTAATGAAATGGCATTGTTGCCTCTTTAAAATGACAATGTGCAGGCTGGGCTCGGTGGCTCATGCTTGTAATCCCAGCATTTTGGGAGGCCGAAGCGGGTGGATCACAAGGTCAAGAGATTGAGACCAGCCTGAACAACATGGTGAAACCCTGTCTCTACTAAAAATACAAAAATTAGCCAGGGGGGGTGACCGGCACCTGTAATCCCAGCTACTTGGGAGGCTGAGGCAGAAGAATCGCTTAAACCCAGGAGCAGAAGGTTGCAGTGAGCCGAGATCACGCCACTGCACTCCAGCCTGGCGACACAGTGAGACTCCATCACAAATAAATAAATAACAATATGCAATGCTAGTGAGTCATTTCAGTAACTCAATGATGGCAACATTATTTGCCACAACTGTTTGGGAAAGTCATTAGAATAGGGCCATAAAAAATCAGTTGTAATATTAAACCTAGTAATACATTTACAGAAATCTCTATTATGAGCATAATTTCTAAGCAGAAAAAGGTGAATGTTTAAAGATGTTCATTGCAGCATTATTTACACTACAGAAATCCAAACAACAACAAAAAAAAAATAGGGAGAGACTCATAAATGCCAGTGATGAAATGTCATATCTTTCAATAGTCACAGATTGTATAGATTTCTGTGTATTTATTTATATTTTCAGTATTGTAAGCATACTATGCAGTTGACAACAGCTTCCTGTGGTTAAGCCCTGACTATAGTCAGCAGGTTAAAAAAAATCCTTTATTTAACCTTTCAGCATCCCTTGGTTTTAATTATTTTCATTTATGCAATGATATGTCTCTGAACAAGAGTCAGAGACGCAGCAGAAAAATGATTGAGAACAAGAAAAATCGAGATCAGAGGACACATAGTGGCAAAAGCATCTTGAGATAATTCCTGGCATTGGCTCCCCCAGGGACGAGAAGTGGGAAGAACACTATGTGAGACAAATTCCTCCCAGAGCGGGAGAGGAGGAAACTTCACCTGGAGGGAAGCGCTGGGCAGCCTCTGAAACCCAGAAACCCACTGGATTATGTCGCTCATTACTAACAGAGCTTTGGGGGCTCCCTAAGAGCTCCAGACATCACCTCTTTTACCTACTATCTAAAGATGTAAAAGGCTGGGAGCAGTGACTCATGCCTGTGGTCCCAGTTACTAGGGAGGCTGGGGCAGGAGGACTGCTTAAGGCCAGGAGTCGAATGCTGCAGTGAGCTATGATCATACCACTGCACTCCAGCCTGGGTGACAGAGCAGGATCCTGTCTCATAAAAAGCAAGCAGACAAACAAACAAAAAACAGATACAAAGGAGTATTGCCTAATTAACAAGATCAGTGTGAATATCAAGTAATTTATATGATAAAACTTAATAAACTGTCATAAGTTCAAATAAAGTTATTACATTTTATTTATAATGCACCTAAATATTATAGAGAATTAGCTGTATTTTAGGTTGGTGAAAATGTAATTGCGGTTTTTGCCATTACTTTCAATGGCAAAAACCTCAATTGCCTTTACACCAACCTAATGTATATCGATAATATGAAATTAGAAACAGTGTTTGAAAATGAGTATTCTGATTAACTCAGTGCTATCTTTTGAGATGTAATCTTTATAACTCAATATTTACAAGCTTTATATACAGAAAATCCAAGATAAATTACTAGTTATAGAATGAATGCTTTTACCCCATAAATGTATACAATTATAATTTGCCAATTAAAAATGTTATTACTTTAAAAATATGTAATTACAAATAAAAAAATGAATGAATGTTCCAGTGCTGCTTTCTGGTAAAGCTACATTATACCATGGAACTACTGCGTTGATTAGAGACACTCTACAAAGATTTACTATAGATCAATAAACCTTATAAGCACAATTGCTATTAATAAAGTTTGCAAAATAAAAAATATTTTTAACTCACAATTTTGTGAAAATGGAATTTGCAGTTGACGTGGTATGGCTGTGTCCCCACCCAAATCTCAACTTGAATTGTATCTCCCAGAATTCCCAAATGTTGTGAATGTGGGAGGGACCCAGGGGAGGTAATTGCATCAGAGGGTCCAATCAATCTCATACTATTCTCGTGATAGTGAATGAGTCTCACGAGAGCTGATGCTTTTATCAGGGGTTTCCACTTTTGCTTCTTTCTCATTTTCTCTTGCTGCCGCCATGTAAGAAGTGCCTTTCACCTCCCACCATGATTCTCAGCTCCCCCGACCCCAGCCATGTGGAACTGTAAGTCCATTTCAACCTCTTTTTCTTCCCAGTCTTGGGTAGGTCTTTATCAGCAGCGTGAAAATGGACTAATATAACAGTCCACCATACAGTAGCTACATTATATACAATAGTGTTTCTCAGTTGTTTTTGTGTCTGATAAGTAGAATATTGGACTGTTGGAATCTTTTACATCATACTTGGCTTCAAGGAAAAACTTCTCCAGGTGTTCGAAGGAAGAATATTCAAACCCCTATGAAACAATTATGTCTTAAAGGACGTAGCTCAAAGGCTACAGTGGCGTGTCCCTCATGATTGATTGTTTTTGTTGTTATCACCTATTTGAAAAACTAGATGCTTAGAAATCTAAGCTGATAAATGTAGGGACAGGGAACATTAAAACAGAAAGCCAGGCCAAATCAGCATCTCTCTCTTTCTCTGACACACACACCCCTCATCTGCATTCCCCCATCGTGTGGCTCCCTGGGCCAACCTGTCAAATGCATAGCAAGGCCACCGCTGCCTCTGCCAGGGACCACTCCAGGCTGAAGTCCACAAAAACAGCCTTTTCTTGAAAGCCACTGCCAAATGGCCTAGAAAACATCCACAGTGCCTGGAATGCCTCCTCCCAATACTGCTATTTGGACCTAAAATTGCTTTAGAGACCCATGCTCACAAAAAAGAATGAATAATTCCACACTGAGTTTCAACTATCAACACATTTCCTTCTTTATTATTCTCTTTTAGAATGAAATCAGCAATTCATTTCTCATTCTTGTTTTGCTTTAAACGTAATAAACTCTCTTGGAAAAATGAGTCCTACTGTACAGCAAATATGAACGCTAATAAAACGTTAAGAAAAAAAAACATGGAAAGCTGATTGCTGGTTTCTAGAGGAGGAGAAGCAAATAAAACTAGATTCAATAGAACCTCATCTTCATTAGAAGATTTCATCCACGAATTAGCAGTGCCTTGGAAGTATACAAGCCTCAATTACCAGAATACAATATTAACAAGTTAATGGTTCATAGGTACTCCTGGTGAACCTTCACTTAAAACAGCGTTTAACAGAGACACACACACATTTACAACACAGGAGTGTTAATAGTATGTAAGGCATTGCATTGCCTTAGTTTGGCTGTGTAGTCTTTCGGGTGACTTAAGAAGTACAATTAAGTTCTTTTTTGGGATAGGTAAAACTAGTGTTGAAGGCTCTAGCGCCCTTCTGCTCATGAAAATAACCTCTATGAAAAACACCGAAATAGGACATTTGAAGTTGTAATTAAAGATTCTAAGCCCAATGGCTGCGGGCTACTCTAATCACTGAAAAAAATTGTTGTTGTTTTTTTTTCTTTTCTCAATGGCAACAAAACAATTATCCTGTGTGCGTGTGGGGAGGGGGGAGCAGATTAGCCCATATGGGCAGTACAGTGGTTTTCATTATTCATTTATTGAGTGAAATAAAGATTATTTATTGACTCTACTCTGTTATAAATGCTAGTTATAAATGGAAACTAGAAATGCGTCTTACTCTGGTGAATTTAGGCAAATTAAAGCATAGATGATTGTATAAAAGAATTGTAAGTTGCATAAATTATTATTAAAAAATAAAAAGTGGATTGAAGTAAAGAAAATATAAAACCTGGTTAAGGTTATGCAGTAGTGGTCAAAATTGTTTTGTTGAAGAAATGACGTTTAAATTAAGATCTAAGTAGGAAAATGGTGCAGATCAGGAAAAGACCAAGAAAGGCAGGCTTTTCAGCCAAAGGAAATAGTATGTGTTCTAAACATAGAAAGAGTTCAGTGTCTGGGATAAGGGGAGAGTTTCAGAAGAGAGATGACCTCTGCAGCCCCTTCTCCTAAAGTGTGTGCCCCTTTTCACACTCTCCTAAAGTGTGTGCCCCTTTTCACACTCTCGCCACCTCCTAAGTGGAGACGAAGTAGTCGTCAAATTGTTCAGACCACAGGACGTTCATTAGAACACATTTTATAAGTGGACACAGACATATTATAAAAACCCAGGACCCATTTTTTCACCTGATAAATCCCATCTGCCAGTCAACATCATAATGATGACAATGATGATTCAAAACCCATGGCTCATTTCAGAATTATCTCAAGAATTTAAAATGCCAATTAGTTTCTTTTTCTATTGTAAACTATACACTAAGTAAGAGTATCACTAAGTAAGAGCATCAGTTACACTATTTTTTGGTCTTTGTTCCAAATGTCTTGTTAAACTGAGTACTTAACTACTTAAATATTAATACCGATATTCCCTCAAACTTTTGATGTATAAAGTCATATTCTCTCTTTTCTCAAATGTCTTTTCCAAACTTGGATTCACTGTCACACTTCACACAATAAGGTATAAAGGACTATATTAGGAGTCTGAATGGAAATAACTAAAAATAAGTCATGAAGATAATTCCTGAGTATGCTGAAGAATTTTGGAAGGATCCTGTTGCATCCTGTTTAGTGTGAGTGTGATGGGTTTCATAGTGCCTGTGCTGGCTTCTTGCAGGTGCCTCTGAAGGACTTGCAATGCATCACAGTGCCAGGCCACACAGGTGTGAGAGGGCGAAGGAGGCGTCAATCTGCTGTCAGAACCCTCATCACGCATGGCCTTCTTGCTCTGTACCCATCATAAAAGCATTCACCCTCATAAATGGGTTGTAAACATATAAAAAGTTTTAATTTAAGAAAGAAAGTCATCAAGTGAGAGAAAAAGAAAAAAAGATCACTTCAGTGGAATTTGATAAAGAAGTTACCTTCTAGGGTAAAGGGTGGTAAAAGCCACGATTATCAAACAAATTCTGATTCAGCTGAAGGTCACAACTTCTGCATCCCCATACTGGGCAATTCCTAAAGACTTCTGAAGGCATTCTCTCTATTAGTTCTATAAGAGTTGTTGTATTATCTGTCATTAAAAAGTTGAATTAAGGCCAGGTGCCGTGGCTCATGCCTGTAATCCCAGCACTTTGGGAGGCCGAGGTGGGCAGATTACCTGAGATCAGGAGTTTGAAACCAGCCTGGCCAACATGGTGAAATCCTATCTCTACTAAAATTCCAAAAATTAGCTGGGCGTGGTAGCAGATGCCTGTAACCCCAGCTACTCGGGAGGCTGAGGCAGGAGAATCACCTCAACCCAGGAGGCAGAGGTTGCAGTGAGCTGAGATCGTGCCACTGCACTCCAGCATGGGTGACAGAGTTAGACTCCACCTCAAAAAAAGAAAAAAGTTGAATTAGAGAATCATCAACACATGAAGAAATCTACCTCGGCAGTACATACATGAGCCTTGAAGTAGTTTTGCAAAATAGGTGAGGCACCCTGGTGTGACCTGAGTTCAGCCTGGTTGTGCCAATACGGGGACTTGAACATTCCACTTAATCCCAGGAGGCTCATTTCTTCATTCATGAAAGGAGACTAAATATACCCATCTATACAAGGGCCACAGAATTAAATGGGATGCTAAAAGAAATGAATCAGTGTTGGCATATATTAGTTCAGTAAAGCTTAGTCTTGATGGAAAGAATTGTCTAGTTTCTTTGATAAAATATTTCTCATTAATCAAGGCAAAGCCCTCGAGCAACTGCTCTGATGGAGACAGACCCAGGAGGAGGCTACTGCTTCTGGTGGTGGGAATTAGGGTGAATCACTCTAAGAAAAGGGCATTGCTACAGAGAATAGGGCTGCAGTTTACATCAAGGTGTACACTGAAGACTTTGAAGCCCCGCTTGAGTCCTCAGCTTCCCTATCAATGAAAAGATCCATCTGGGGTCTCAGTAGCATGTCAGCCATGAATGGTAGTCCACAGAATTTCCCAAGTGCACACATACAGAAGCTCACCAATTTCCCATATCTATCGGCTATTCTAAACTTCTGGGATAGCATATCACTCTTTCTTTATAACCAAGGATATCACCCTGGTTCTCAACTCTAAGACATATTTTCTGCCTAATTATGCTCCATTTGTTCTCTTAGCTCCTAGTCCCAGCACCTGCTTATGAAGCCAACCAAACTGTTGCAAAAGTTGTCAGAGTTTTGGGCCTCGCTGAGACTACAGGCTTATACATCAATGCTTCGGGAGGACCAGCCTGCACATGAAACGTGCTCCCTGCATTGCAAGAGAGGCTTGCAGCAAGTGGAATGTGGAAATCTGAAGGTGCCTTCACCTAGGAGACGGGTCTACTGATGCACGCTGAGAACGTCAGCTTTTGGTTCAGAGGAATGGATCATTTAAAGGAGAAGGTGAGAGTGTTGCTTTTGCTTTCAGAAAACCCATACAAGAAGGAGTAGATGCCTGTGATCTGCAGGGAGAACATCCGTCAACAATGAAGATTCAGGTCCTAGTTTCTAAGAGTCTTGTCCACAAACTAAGGGGAATCTTAGCCTTTTCTGTCTCGTACATGGTTGCCCTAGCGGGGATGGGGATTGCTACAACTCTTTGGGGTCACTGTTGGAAGCACTTTCATGCAAAAGAGGCATCTTTGTAAAGCCTTAGGTTGAAAGCTCAATTCACTCATGCAGACGGGTAAAAACAGAGACTGAGTAAGCACCCTTGCCCTGTTCCCCTAATTACTCAAAGTCGCTCAGAATCCCCCGTTGAAAGGAAAAGGAATGATGCAGTTTTAGAAGCATATCAACTTTATGTACAAATTATGGTTTGTATACAAGCAACAGTTTGCATGCTCACATAATTCAGAATGAATTGTTCAGATGTTCATTGTGCCTGGAGGTGGCTTAATTGCTTGTTCTTCTAAAGGGGAAAAATTGGTATAACAAACTATAGCCTATTTTCTAAGAAAATCATTTCACATAAAATTCAGCAGTTTTATGATTGTGATGAAGAATAAACAGATTTAACACATTCGATTATCTTTAAAAATGGTGTTTGGCACACATAGCAAAAGGAAGAAGAAAAACAGTGGAACTTTGAAAATAAAAGACATTTTTACTTGCTATGCCTAAAGCATTAAAATTATCTTTGAGATTTTGGCATTGAATAAGTTTTCTTTCCCAAAAAAGTTTATGCATTAGAATGCAGCAATATGCTTTATAACACAGAAAAGAAAGAGAGGAAGATACTAAAGAACAAAGGAAGGAAAGGAGGGAGGGAAGGAATGAGAGGGAGGGAGGGAGGAATGAAGGAAGGAAGGAAGGAAGGAAGGAAGGAAGGAAGGGAAGGAAAGAAGGAAGGAAGGAAAGAGGGAGGGAGGGAAGGAAAGAAGGGAGGGAGGGAGGGACTTAACTTCTCCAAATTGCAAAACCTAAAAGAAAAGGAAGTCACTAAAATCTTTAACATGGCAAAATTTTTATGAGTATTATGAAAATCTAAGTATCAATAAGCCCAAGGCAATACCAACAAAAGTAAAATAACACAGAGAATTTTATCTTTTATAAAGGAATCCTTTGTTTAGATCTGAAAAAAATAACTATTATTCACATCAAGTTTTTAAATCATAAGTGCAACGAGACCATGCAGTAATCCCCCTAATGTCTATTTTCCCGCTAATATCTAGTTAGTTGATAAATATCTTCATGCTATTATCAATTTTTCAATTCTTGACTTAGAAATAGAGTGCATGGCTTGATTTTACCAAAGTTCTTAATAAGTCATTTAACTTCAAGACAGCTACGTCTATAGTAACATCTCTGACCTTTACATGGTCATAAATAAATGACAAACTTTAAGAATAAGGTGTACAGCACAGACATCATTGAAAATGACAAGAATTCTCTGTATGATTTATGCATCTTCTTAGGAGTTATTAATTATAAGCTTAGCTTCTAAATCTCAAGTAGAACCTAGGAATGTTTATTTGACTTACATATCAGAGTTAAGTGTCATCTTATCAATTTATCAATTTTATAAAATGGCAAACACTGACAAACTATCTAATTAAGTGTCACCTCTGTCAGATATGATACCCTACAAGAAAATAAAATAGCTCAAATTCATGTTCTCATTTATTTGTATTATTTATTTTTATATCTCAGTGATAGGAAATTAATGGCGTACAATAAAAAACATGTTGTTTCGAGTTTTTGTTTTTTTTTTAATTGAAAGTCCTTTCTTCTCCTTGACATCTGGCTTGGAATGGGGTGTCAAGACATGGGAAAGCAGGACCAATGTTTCCAGATCCTCCTATTGCAAGAGACAAAGGGAAAGCAGATCTAAGGGTATCTCACAAATCCTTTAAAAGCTGCGTGACAAACAATACTAGCATGGAGTTAAGTGTGAAGCAAATAAAACACTTGCTTAGCCAACCAGATGCTTGACCTAGGAGAGGACTTATGCTTTCTAACGCTCAAAGGCCACGGAGTCAACATCAATGAGCAAGACAGTAAGAAACTAGAGGAGGCCCTGAAGTCAGGCCCACTTTGCCAGGGTTCTCTCCTACGTGGGAATGCAGGACAAATATTTCCAGACTCTGCTATTGCAGGAGAAAAAGGGAAAGGGGATTTATGGGTATCTCATAAATTACATAACATGGAATTCTAAATACTGATAATTGATTTTTGTAAATATTAAATATTTTGTGAGTCAACCAAAGCAATTGTCTGACCTGTGCTCTAGATGATTCCTACATGGGCTTTTTGCAGGTTTGCTTGTTTGTTTATTTATAGACCATTATTACAGATTGAAATAATTGGTAGCTTTTGGAACTACATAGACATGGCCTTAATAACCTTACCTGTAAAATATCAAGAGTAAAACACAAAAAACTATGGAGCTGGGCCGGGTTCAGTGGCTCATGCCTGTAATCCCAGCACTTTGGGAGGCCGAGGTGGGTGGATCACTTGAGGTCAGGAGTTCAAGACCAGCCTGCCCAACATGGTGAAACCTTCTCTATACTAAAAGTACAAAAATTAGCCAGGCATGGTGACACACACCTGTAATCCCAGCTACTCAGCAACAAAACCATTTTTTAAAAAAAAACTGTGGAGCTGGGCCGGGCGGGGTGGCTCATGTTTGTAATCCCAGCACTTTGGGAGGCTGAGGCAGGCAGGTCACTTGAGGTCAGGAATTCAAGACCAGCCTGCCCAAGATGGTGAAACCCTGTCTCTACTAAAAATACAAAATTTAGCCGGGCATGTTGACACACACCTGTAATCCCAGCTATTCAGCATGGGAGAATCACCTGAGCCCGGGGGGCGGAGGTTGCAGTGAGCCGAGATCGCGCCACTGCACTCCAGCCTAAATAACAGAGTGAGACTCTGTCCCAAAAAAAAAAGAAAAGAAAAGTTAAATGTTGAATATGGTATTAAGAATATTCAAAATGTGGGAGACTTGCAAGTGCTTGGTGTCAACTGAGATACACCAATTAATTGACAGTTAATGGTTTATGGCATATAATTATGTTCTATTTTTCTTATTGGCTCAGATATTAAGATCATGCTCATTAAAAATGGAAATTACCATGTAATGAGCAAGTTTAACATGATGATCACGGAGGAAGTGTTTGTATTTTAACAGGATGTAGTTCACTAGGAATGGGGCAAGGGAGGGGACAGTTGAGCAGGAAGATGGGAGAGAAGCACAACATTCATCATTCACATTATTCAAATTGTACGTCGTGCATACAGCCAGACGAGGCGATGCAGGTGTGTTGGAGCTGAAAGCCTCCCGCCCCCAATTCCTGGAAGCCTCTTCACTGCTTCCCCTGCTCTACTCTTCCCTCGCTTCCCCCAACCCCCATCCACATACAATTCATTCTCTGCATGTAAGCAACTTCTCATTTGCTTGAGCTTCTTCAGTGACATCACATTGCACCTAGAAAACAACCTGAATGCGTCACAGCCAAATCCCCAGGCCCCCTGACCCGGGGAAGCCCTCTGACCTTCCGCTCCCAGTGCACCAGCCTTGTTCCTTTCTCTTCTCTCAACTCATCGGGCTTCTCTCCACCCAGAACTCTTCCTAGCACGTGCAGCCATGTCTCCTTCCAGTCCTTCAAATCTCAATGCCACCCCAGAGAGTGGCAGACCCCAGGCCCCCGCTCACAACCTAAACATCACCCCAATCATTTCCTCCACAGCAGGCACCACTAACACAGCTTCAGCCTGGGCACGGCTGCAGCCTCTATGGCTGCAACTTCAAATCAATGCCCTAAACATATGTTTTTGCCTCCAGTCTCACTCTATTTGCAACAAGTGTTTCTGTAACAGTCCATATCTACATTGTACCAGATTAGGCTCTTAAAATGTGTCTAAGGTCATTGTCATTCTCACTTTAAAATCCGCGATAGTTTCTTACGGTCCTCCAGCGTTCATAACTGTTTTAATCTGAACTACTTTGGCATTCTGGGAAGTCTAATAAGTTTCTCAAACTAATGTCTTACTGTATAAAATAAAATACATAAGATTACAAAGGAAACCAGCCATTTTAAAATATTCCTACAAAAGTGCGATAAAGCAAAATTTGTGGCTTAACATTATGTATGTTATTTCACTAAACAACACATGGCCAAGTCTAATAACTGAGGCAACTTCAAACCATGGTGTAGTAACATTTTGAAATATCTGCACATGTATACATATGTAACTAACCTACACAATGTGCACATGTACCCTAAAACTTAAAGTATAATAATAAAAGAAAAAAAAGAAAAAATAAATAAATAAAATAAAATAAAAAAAGAAATATCTGCACTAAATGAAACAAAGCAATGGATTATCTATGATTTGGTGACAAAGTCACAGGTTATGCTAATACTAATTTTTTTTTTTTTTTTTTGACATGGAGTCTCACTCTATTGCTCAGGCTAAAGTGCAGTGGCGTGATCTCTTCTCACTGCAACATCCATCTCCTGGGTTCAAGCAATTCTCCTGCCTCAGTCTCTTGAGTAGCTGGGATTAAAGTTGCCTGCCACCATGCCCAGCTACTTTTTGTATTTTAAGTAGAGACGGGGTTTTGCCATGTTGGTCAGGCTGGTCTTGAACTCCTGACCTCAGGTGATCCACCCGCCTCGGCCTCCCAAAATGTTGGGATTACAAGCATGAGCCACTGTGCCCAGCCTGCTAATACTATTTTAATATTATTGCCTGCCTTTAAAATGTAAGGAAATGCTAAATATTAATTAAAGCTTAAGGGGAAAAATACATAATATTGTTATGTATATATTTACCATCTGAGTAATAGATTCCTTGAATTCTATCCTCAAGGCCCCAGAACTATTGGTGTAGAGAACTAAATTCATGGTCTTAACAGGGGATGCAAATTCCTTCACAATCCAATACCATCACTCCACTGGCTCATGTCCAAACTCATCCTTCACCTTTGGTAGCCATAATGCCACCTCTAGTGTAAGCCAGGGTTCACACGTGGCCTCCAGGTTCTGCTCACGTGGAACTTTCTCAGGGAAAGCCTGCTCAGTGTGCCTGCTCTGCGAGGCCACCCAGTGGGTTTTACCCTCAGACCTCAGCAGATATCTCAGTCACAGAGAGGATCATGTTGGATTTTAATTTTGTAATTGAAAATCTAGTTTTCTATTAAATTATGACATTATTTTACAAAACACCCATGTATCTTTTTTTTTTTTAATTCCTAGCTCTTGGCACAGAAATTACATTCTCATGCTAGCCTAATACATAGACGGCCTTCAAAAAAATTTGACTTAAAATACAACTTAATGGGTTTAGATTACAGAGACCTTCACAAGTTATAAAATACTACAATAATGTTTTATTCAAAAATGGAAATAATTAAACACTGATCTATGAAAGTAAGCTGTTTGTCTTCAAAGTGTCACTTTGATGAGTTCAGTCTCATCAGTTCTAGATAGTGTTGGGGCTCAGGACACCACCCCAAAATATGACTCTAGAAGACCAGAATATGCCACCCCAAAACACACTTCTTTGGTATATTTCCACCAGATTATTCTGAGAAACTGCAGATACAAAAGTAGTTCTGAATAGCTGCATCAAGAGGGCAGTTGCTTTATTACCTGAGCAATTGTAATCTGCATAACAAGACAACTATTCACCATATCATTCCTTCCCTCACTCTCTCCTAATTTGACTCCACTACTCTGGAGAAGCCCAAGCTCTTATTTCTTTCTGGAGCTCAGGAGCTACACAAGCTCCAACTTCTTGCCCTTTAATCCTAGGAAACAGGAAACAGGAAGGTTAGGAACCCACTCCCAGCCTTCTGTGCTCCAGGAAATATCTAAGTGGGAAGACCCTCCTTCGCCCAGGTCTACAAGAAGGCTGAGGGTGCCGCTCCGTTCACCTGGGAGGAACCTCTCCCACTTGGCCTCATATGAGGTTAGCTGACTTGCCTGTCCTATGGATACACTGGAATAAAAGGCGTATTAGCCCAGCTCTGCGTGAGCCTGCATCCTTCCCCAGGCCCCTGGATGTCACCCACTGCAGCGTGGGCCGGCACACAGCTTCTCCTCAGCGACCTGGGGGAGGCCGACCTGGGGCCCCTTCTTGGCTGCTGCTGTCCTCCTGGGCCTTCTTGGCTGCTGCTGTCCCAATGGGGCCCCTTCTTGGCTGCTGCTGTCTTCCTGGGTCCCCCGCCTGCTCTTTCTATCTCACTGCTCTCTCAACAGGAGGCTACTTTCCACTACCCTCCGGGGATGCCGGCTGACCTGAGGATCCCTCAGAGCCTCCCCTTTACAATCGTCCTCAGTCTCTCCTGAAAGAGCTTGGGTCTGTCTTGTGTTGGATGCCACTTATAGCAGCTGGGGGTGCCTTGGCCTCAGGGGAAGAGAGGCGCCCCTGGGAGCAGAAGGCAATCCTGTTACTGTTACACTGGAAGGCTCACGTGGACACCGGCAGACGAGAGTGAAGCCCCTAACCCACCAGGAATGAAGGGGTTCTGAGGAGAAACCTATGGCTGGGCTTTAGGGCTGCAGTCAGGAGGGGCGGGCATAGAGCTTAGCTCTGGGAAGGGGAGGGGTGAGTGTGATCAGAGGTAGGCGAAGAGACAGGAGGCTGCTGGCAGGAGTGCCCAGCACCTCTCGCTGGCTCAGGACCTACAGGTTGGACTCATTCCCCCTCCATGAACTGACCACTGCTCATGACACTCACTGCCAGGCTGCGCTGCAGCTGCCTCACAAGTCAAACTGAGAAAGGGTGGCATGGCCTTAAAGGCCGGTCGAATTCTTGCAAAGTCCTAGAAAGTGCTCTGTCAGGCCGGGCGCGGTGGCTCACGCCTGTAATCTCAGCACTCTGGGAGGCCGAGGCAGGCAGATCGGATCATGAGGTCAGGAGATGGAGACCAGCCTGGCCAATGTGGTGAAACCCTGTCTCCACTAAAACTACAAAAATTAGCCAAGCATGGTGGCAGGCACCTGCAGTCCCAGCTACTCAGGAGGCAGGAGAATCACTTGAACCAGGGAGTTAGAGGTTGCAGTGAGCCGAGAGTGTATCACTGCACTCCAGCCTCTCGACAGAGTGAGACTCCATCTCAAAAAAACAAGAAAAAAAAGAGAAAAAGAAAAACAAAAGAAAGAAAAGAAAGAAAGAGCTCTGCCAGTGTTTGCTGCACAAATCAAGGGCAAGGGTTCTGATGTCCGGAGGCCGTGATGTTAGGCAGTTCCTGAACCATGACCCTGGATCTGCAAGAGGCAATGCAGCCACAGCGGACATCTGGATTCCACGGTCACAGGCAGCACCTGCATCCAACCACGAAGGCATGCGCTGCAAGTCCTTGTGGAGAACGTTTGACTCTCAGGGTTTTGGCGAGGCTATTTTCACAGCCGTAAAACTTGAGAGGAGCAGGCAGATCTGTCAGGTGTCAGGTCCAAAACGAAAAACTGTGATCGGAGTTTTCCCACAGTGGCCGTTCTGCAGCTTAGGGATGGTCGAGTGGTTTTGCAACTTGTGGGAGAAAATTGTTCTTTTTAAACTGACTTCATTAGGTTTAAACATTCTTTCCCCTGTTAGTGCACTGACTAAATCGTTGGATTTAGAATCCAAAGACTTCATTTCCCTTCCTTCTGCTGAAATACAATAGCTTGGCTGACACTACTACTTTGGTGTCTAGCAGACTTGATTCCAAATCATACTTCCACAGGCAGCTGTGCACATTTTCACAATTTGCCAACCTCTCTGAGCCTCATTTTTCTTATCTGTGAAATGTGCATAACCCTTGGAATTTATGTGGAAATCAGGAAGCATAGAGTGTGGCGCAGAGTGAGCACACCATACGTAACAGTTATTATTGTCATTATTATTACTGAGACAGGGTCTCACTTTGATGCCCAGGCTGGAGTGCAGTGATGTGATGGCAGCTCATTGCAGCCTTGAACTCCCAAGCTCAGGCAGTCCTCCCACCTCAGCCTCCCAAGTAGCCAGGACCACGGGTGTCCAACACCACGCCCAGCTAATTTTTTGTAGAGACAGGGTCTCACCATGTTACCCAGGCTGGTCTTGAACTCCTGGCCTTGAGCAATCTTCCCGCCTTGGCTTCCCAAAGTGCTGCAATTTATTTTTAATATAGTAAAACAGGGGCAATTAGCTCTTCCAAACCAACTAATAATACTTCTGCAGAAGCACATGAGGACATAAGAAAACACTAATAAAAATCTCTTGCATACAAATACTTCATTTACATAGAGTTTTAATCCAATTATATCACTGTTCCATGGCATATGTATTATGTTGTTTTTCCAGGTACCTTCTTAAAGGAACTGGCTTCTTCCCCTTTAAAACATGCTCTTGAGTGAAGTCTGCTGATCACATTTCTGACTCTGTGAACCGGCTTCTTCCCCTTTAAAACATGCTCTTGAGTGAAGTCTGCTGATCACATTTCTGACTCTGTGAACCGGCTTCTTCCCCTTTAAAACACGCTCTTGAGTGAAGTCTGCTGATCACATTTCTGACTCTGTGAACCGGCTTCTTCCCCTTTAAAACACGCTCTTGAGTGAAGTCTGCTGATCACATTTCTGACTCTGTGAACCGGCTTCTTCCCCTTTAAAACATGCTCTTGAGTGAAGTCTGCTGATCACATTTCTGACTCTGTGACCCAAGTTGACCTAACACATAGTCTCTGTCCACCTGGCCTCAGTGGCTGGACTTAGACACAAGCTGGCCCACCAAGAAAGTGTTCCCAAAATGTTTAGCAATTGCAGTAGGAGAAGCAGGGTCCTGTCCTTGCTGAGCAGGGTATGGTTAGATTGGGGACATATCATCCATGTGTATTAGGGCAGAAAAAGCTATGAAAATCACAACAGGGGCAAAAAGAATTCAGGTGTCACTGAGGCCCAGGCTCCAGACATGCCCCAGCCCACACAGCTGTCACCTTGCACTTCTTTCCTAAACTAGTTTCATTCAGATTTCTATCATTTACAATCAAAGAGGGCAGACTCATGGGGAACATCCTGGATCTTTGTCCCCCCCTCATGCATTACATCTAGCCACTAATTGATGGCTCATCTATGGAGTCCGGGTTAGTCCTAGAATATGATCAAGGCTCTATTTTCACAATTATATGTAACAGTGATACACGTGTCTATGTGTTGCAGAGAGGACAACCAAGCCTTTTTTTTTTCTTTTTTTTTTTTTGCCCCCCGAGATAGAGTTTCGCTCTGTCACCCAGACTGGAGTGCAATGGCATGATCTCGGCTCACTACAAACCCCGGTCTCTGGTCTCCCAGGTTCAAGCGATTCTCCTGCCTCAGCCTCCTGAGAAGTTGGGATCACAGGCGCTCCCCACCATGCCCAGCTAGTATTTGTATTTTTAGTAGAAACGGGGTTTCACCATGTTGGCCAGGCTGATCTCCGACTCCTGACTTCAGCTGATCTACCCACCTCGGCCTCCCAAAGTGCTGGGATTACAGACATGAGCCACCGTGACCGGCTCATCCCTTTCGGATTTCTGGTAGCGACGGAAGAGATGCAGTGAATAGAAGAGAAGAACACCACTGCCATTGATAATATTTTTATATCAGTGGTTATACCCAGGGTACACTCAGAGCTGTTTGCACACATGGGTAGGACCACCAGTGCCTGAGGTAATCCTTGGGGTCATGTTTCCTGAAAGTAACTGTGAATCCCACCATCCCTGGGTAACTGATACTTCTCTGGCTGAAAGCACAATCCCTTAAAGAAGCCTTCTACAAAATCCAACATTACCAAGACTGGACACATGGTATTTGTGCCAGTATCTGCAGTGACATGAATTGGCTAAATTTTTTTAAAAATTTTTTTCTATGTAATACTGTTTTGAATTTAAAAACATATTTTTTTTAAATTTTATTATTTTAATTGAGAGATAATAATTGCACATATTCATGGGGTACATAGTGATGTTTCAATACATATAATCTAAGTGATCAGATCTGGGTAATTACTACATCTGTATGTTCATCATCTCCAGCCTTTATCATTTCTTTGTGGGGGGAATGTTCAATATCCTCCTGGCTCTGTGAAATGATGGGACATATTATTGTTGACTACAGTCACCCTAAAGGGCTAGAGAACACTAGACCTTATTCCTCCTATCTAGCTACAATTTTTTATCCTTTAAAAGAGTTTTGCTAGCAATATCCGCAATGCGTAGGGACTAAAAATTGATTTAATTTAATGAGGAAGCCGGAGCACAGACCTCAAACAAATAAAGGCAAGCCCTGCACAGGTGCTTCCGAAAATGTATATGCAGCACGGCAGAAAGTCCCTTAGCATCAGGGGGAATAAACACCTCAAGTATGGAGCTCACAGGTGTGCACTGGGGAGCAATTACAGGTAAGGCACTGCGCTTCCTGCTGAGCGCGGAGCGAGGTAAAACAGAAATGACCGTCACCTTCATGCAGTGTATTGTTTTCAGTAAGGCATCCTTTAAACATAGAAATACAGTTGTCCCTTGGCTTTTGCAGGTGGGTTACAGGAGGAATATAAAATAATGGTGCATTTTCATAAAATCTAAGCACACTCTCTTGTATACTTGAAGCCATCTCTAAATTTCTTATAATACTGAACACAAAGCAAATGCCGTGTAAATAGTTGTTATTCTGTATCGCTCAGGGAACGATGATAAGAAAAAGAGTCTGTGCATGTTCAGTGGAAACACAACCATGTGTTGTGTATTTCAGAATATTCTGATCTCTAGTGCTTGAATCCACACATGCAGAACTCATGGATGCAGAGGGCTGACTGTATACAATAAATTCCTGATTTTAAAAAGTCCCAGGGTATGCCTGTCAGTCTAGGTTCATTTATATGGCATTAACAACAATATCCCGGCTGGGCGCAGTGGCTCATGCCTGTAATCCCAGCACTTTGGGAGGATGAGGAGGGCAAATGACCTGAGGTCAGGAGTTCGAGACCAACCTGGCCAACATGGGTGAAACCCTGTCTCTACTAAAAATAAAAAAATTAGCCAGGCATGGTGGCGGGTGCCTGTAATCCCAGCTACTTGGGAGGCTGAGGCAGGAGAATTGCTTGAACCTGGGAGGCAGAGGGTGCAGTGAGCTGAGATTGTGCCACTGCACTCCAGCCTGGACAACAGAGTGGGATTCCCTCTCGAAAACAAAAAACCATATCCCATATCTCAGTGACTTAAAATAAGGCAGCTTCCTTCTGGTTCCAGGTTGGGATGGCAGGGAACTCTACTCCTGTAGATACTCAGGGATCCAGATGACTGAGTGGCCATTAGAGCAAACTAAATTTTGGCTCTTCAGGGTTCCATCCCAAGTGACATTCACTCCAATTTCATCACTGAAAGCAAGTCACACCACCACACTTCATTTTGAAGGCACCTCTATCCTGAGTCCAGAAGTAGAGAGAATGGGAGAGATTTGGTGGGAATGCTCGTGACCAGCACACAAGAAGAAGCACATCAGAATTCAAGCTTCTGAATGAGGAGACCTCCCCTGGTCGGAGTACTCAGACATTGCCTCCTGCAGGGTATTACATAGAAACAGTTCCGAATGACTAACCAAAGAGTGGGAGTGGAGATGGAAAGCATTGCAGGCTGAGATTGCTACACGTGCAAGAGCTCTGAGGTAGAAAGGACTGTGGCTGCTGGAGATATTTCAGAGGGGCAAGTGAGAATCGAGACAGAGAAAGAACCACAGCCTGGGAGACAGAAATAAGAGCTTAGCCAGAGAGACAGCAGATCCTTATAGATGTTGAACGATTTCCTGAAAATCTAAGAAAGCATGGTAAACGCTTTCATCACAAAAGGAATAAGTCCGGTCTGCCTTTTGGAAAGAAGAGAGAAGTTGGAAGAGTAAATCTGGAAAGACATTTAGGAGTTTGGCCATTTTCTAGGAGAAAGGTCTGAGAGCAGTTACGGCTACTGGTGGTGACACAGGGAGGCAGCCGCAGATTCCAGGAACACTGCACCTCACACTTAGTGAGATGGGGGCACTGGAGGATAAGCTGGGAAGCAAAACTGCGAGCTCAGCTTCGGGCACATGTTTCAGTGCCTGCGTCATTCCCAGAGGAGGTGGAAAACAAACATTGTGTCCTGGCGCTTGCAGAAGACTTGAGCTGGAGGCACAGGCACAAGAGTTATCAGCTGTGAATGGCCATCATGGGCTTTGAATCCAGGAGTTTGAATCACGGAAAGCATAGGATGGAAATATAGGAGGATTCCAACCTCCTATATAGCTAAAGTCAGTTAGAAGTGGTCAAGGAAGCAAAGAAAATAACAACTTAGCCAGAGAGATAGCAGAATAACCCAGAGATTTTCTGGCCCCTGAAGCCAAGGGAAAAGGGCGTCAAGAGAAATGGTAGCCATGCTGGATGTCACCAGGAGACATGAGAAAGGAAGTGTGCCTCCAGGGCTAGTGACATTAACATCTCCTGCAATAGAAGATCTTGTCGATAGAAGACCCCATCATGTTAGACACCAGGTAAATAGATAGGAGAAGTGAAAAACAGGTGTAGAAATTGAGAATGTTTACATAAGTTTTCTGGAACTATGTTTTAGAAATTAGAAGCTGGAGGAAGACAAGAGGTCCAAGGTACATTAAAATTATAAATAGATATGTACGTGTGTATGTGTGTGTGTCGATGTGTGAGAGACAGATCTGAGTTATATTCAAGATGCTATTGGGGAAAATTTCATGGATAGTAGCTGAAAATGCAGAAATAGAAAATATTCTCTAAATAATGTCTCTGAAATAGTAGGAAGAGAGGTACCTAGAGCATAGGATAGATTACCGTTTTTTTTCTTTCTTTTTTCTTTTCTTTCTTTCTTTTTTTTTTTTTTTTAGATGGAGTCTCCCTCTGTCACCCAGACTGGAGTGCAATGGTGTGATCTTGGCTCACTGCAACCTCCGCCTCCCGAGTTCAAGTGATTCTCCTGTCTCAGCCTCCTGAGTAGCTGGGATTACAGGCGCCTGCCATCATGTGCCGGCTAATTTTGGTATTTTTAGTAGAGATGTGGTTTCACCATATCGGCCAGGTTGGTCTCAAACTCCTGACCTCAGGTGATCAGCCCGCCTCTGCATCCCAAACTGCTGGGATTACAGGCGTGAGGCCACCACACCCAGCCCCGATTACCCTTAAGTAGGAGGTACATTCTCTTCCATTGAAAAAGAGAGAGAGCAGAGAATAGATGCACAGGCAAGCAGATCTGTATCCATTTTGTTGTGGGAAGTTGCTTCCTCTCTGATGTTCTCTCTCTCTCTCTCTCTCTGTCTCTCTCTCTCTGTTTTTCTCTCTCGTGCTTCAAGTAGGGAATGATTAGTGAGTGATACTGTTTGCTAAGTAGTAAGAAAATAAAGAAGGGGAACACAGAAAGAGTGTTTCATAGAAAAATGCTGGCAATGTCTAGAGACATATTGCTCACTGGTTTAGTCTCCAGTTTCCTCTCTTTTTTGCTCCTACCTAGATTTCCAGTTTAACAGACCTCAATCCTGGAAGTCTGTGTCTATATTTTATATTTTAGGTGAGACTACACATAATAATGCCAAAGAGTTCATCATAAAATACTAGCCTCTTTCAGTAATAAATATCAAAGCCCTGTTTCTAAGCATTCTGTGGAATTAGGGAAACAAGTGATTTAACTATATTAAAAAAAAAAAAAGTTAGGCTCTAGATTTAACGTTTTCAACCTCATTTGATCTAGCAATATTCAAGGAAAGGCCATACAAATTATTTTGCATGAAATTAAAATGTTGAACTTTTTCACATGTCAAAAATGCTTTGATGATGCAAACTTTTCTTAGAGATTGCATATTTGAAGGAATAAAAAGGATAAAGTTCAATCACTGATTTTTTTTCTCTTTTTGTGGTGAAAGTTGAACATGAACAATGCAGGTACCCATTATCTGTGCTAAGGCAAGGCATACATACCTGAGAGACCTACAGACTTACTGCCATATGGATCAACTCCGTGCACAATGGGACTCTCTGTGTCCTGAAGGGACGAGAGCTCAGAGGGACATAGTGACAAATGGGAAAGCTACATGATGATGAGACTCCCCAGTTGAGCACACAGTTGACTACGGCCATGGGAGAGAGTGTGTGCAGGTGGGATGGGAGTACAGGTGAAGCTTAGGTAACACCCGTACCTCATCATCCCCTGTGCGTCTGTGAAACCGCCTTTACAAAATTATACCTGAGGAAATTATGACAGTGAAAGAAACCAGACCTAACCAACTCCATCTTGCTTCTAACCTTTAAGCTGTCCTTGTTCATTCCTGGACATAGATTGAATTAATTTGGGAAGGAATTCAATTCCTGGTTTGACTCTGAAACAAAATTGATCATGGCCCTTTCCCGAAAAGACCCCCTTCTTGCCTGGGGACCAGTCTGTCTTTGCAGGACTAACAAATTACCTGTAAGATTAGACATTATGGTTTAGGGGTCATGCAGCCTCTGGTTCCAAGTCTGAACCTCCCCAAATTGCTCCTGGGATCACATCACTATTGTAAAACCTAACATCAGTGCTTGAGATATGTTGCAGACCCTGCACCTGGTGGATCAGCTGACACCACCCAAACCGGTAATCTGGCCCAACCAGTTCTGCCATCGCACTCGGGAACAGCAGACAGCAAGAAAAACTCACTTCCGCCCCCTGTGATTCCATCTCCAACCTGACCAATGAGCACTACCGGCTTCCCAAGCCCCTGCCCGCCAAATTATCTTTTTTTTTTTTTCTGAGATGGAGTCTGGCTCTGTCGCCCAGGCTGGAGTGCAGTGGCGCGATCTCTCCTCACTGCAAGCTCCGCCTCCCGGGTTCACGCCACTCTCCTGCCTCAGCCTCCCGAGTAGCTGGGACTACAGGCGCCCGCCACTATGCCCAGCTAATTTTTGGTATTTTTAGTAGAGACGGGGTTTCACCGTGTTAGCCAGGATGGTCTCGATCTCCTGACCTCGTGATCCGCCCGCCTCGGCCTTCCAAAGTGCTGGGATTACAGGCGTGAGCCACCGCGCCCGGCCGCCAAATTATCTTTAAAAACTTGAATCCCTGAATGCTGGGGAGACTGAATTGAGTCACAATAAAACTCCGGTCTCCCACACATCTGGCTCTGCGTGAATTACTCTTTCTCCATTGCAATTCCCGTCTTGATAAATCGGCTCTGTCTGGGCAGCAGAAAAGGCGAACCCACTGGTGGTTCCGTCTGTGTCCTTACCTCTGTTTTCAAAAACAACAAGTGTTCCACTACTAACCAGAAACCAACATTCCACCAAAAAATTATTCCACTCGTACAAGCTTGGAACCAGTTAGGGAGATTTATACTTAAATACAATTTACATGTAAGAAGTGTATTTAGATTTGGGTTTCGGTTCTCGTTGTTGTTCCATACCTTGGTAAGCAAGTTTAAATCCTTGCCGGTTTTGCGAATGGTCACTATAAAAGTGGATGAGGGTTTCATGCGTTGTGCTCAGCAGGGCCGCGGGGAGATCCGTGCCGCTAAATTGTCCAATCATGGGGCTGGTGTGGTAAGGTCCATTTTGAATTTCAAGGAAGTCATGATTAGCTTCGGTAGAAAAATTCAGAAACTGAATATGTGCACCTATGGAAAAACATGCAAACTTAATGAAAGTTCATATCAAAATGTATAAAATCAATGCTCATAAAAAGGGACTGAAGTGTTAGCAGTCTCCCCAGACAATCCCTCTCTGTGAGACAGAACCATGCCGTGGAGGACGGCATTCACTGTGGATGACAGCAAACCCTGGCTCCATCTTACCTCTGCCACTTTTTGCCGCATGGTCTTTTTCCATGACACTCACGTCCAGAAGTCAATTTGTTTGTGAAATATGAATATTACCAGCACCGTACCACAGAGCTACACAGGTGGAATCCTTAGGTAACAACTAGCACACACGCACTCGGGGATGATTTTGTCCGGTGACTTTTACAATTATGACAATCTTAAATATGAAGTTGTGATCATCTGTTACATCACCCAAAAGCTAACTGATAGCTTTATCAAGGAAAAACAACAACAACAACAACAATTTTGGTTTTAAAACATGCCACAGAGTTTTTTTTGTTTTTATTTTGTGTTTGTCTGTTTATTTTGTCTGTTTGCCTTGTCCCACAGTTCTATGCAACCAACTTTAAAGGTGGCTTTTACTAACTGGACGGTCATACCATAGCACAAGTTTATTAGTTTAGCAAGCGGTCATTTTCTATTGTGTTACGTGTGCAAAACAAATTATTGATGTTTGTGAGAAACCCAATCTAATCAACCGCACCATAACTCTCACAATTAAATCTAACAGCCTGGCACAGTTGAGAATACCAAAAGACTGTTCAAATGACCAGTATCTCTGATATCATACTCATCTGTGAATTAAATAAACTATGGCTGATAATTTAAAAGGAAACAATAAAAATAATTGAGAGTTATTTGCATTGTGGCATTTTTTTTGAAAACTTATTTGACTACTATGTCTTAGATATTCTAACTCATTTAAGCAATTTATATAGAACTCCAAAGACATTAGTCTTTGCATAAGTCCATGCAGTTAAGCTGGGCCGTAAAACCTAAACTGAGCCAACTAACAGCAGTTGTAGAGTGTTATTCCAGTATAAAAGAAAGCTTTACTCTGCATGGTTCTTCTGTTTTTGATAGATGAGAACTTTAAAAAAATTTTTGCATCTAATATATTTCCTAGATTGGGAAAATTAAAGATAACACCTACTTGGGTTTTCCTACTTCATTGGAAGTGCATAAAAATATTCACACAAACACATCCACTCAGGTGTCAAAGGAAAACACAGTTGTCAGAGGGCAGTACTTTGTAAAAAGGAAGAAAAAAGTCCAAGTGAAAAATTGTAGGGAGGAAACACCTAAAATCTCTCAACAAAATTTAAAGTCATACAAGAAAAACAATTTCATTAATTATGGAGAAACTTGGCAGGGAGAAGCAAAAGGGTAAATAGTGCCCTGCTTGGTGGGCATCACGTAGGGCCAACAGTATGCCTGGGGTCCGATTTGCCAACCAAGTTTGCTCCCAGCACAGTAATCATCACCGTGCTCATAATTTACAGGCGAGCAAACTAAGGCTCTGAAATGTTAGATGTTCTGTCTCATGTCACACGGGAAATGGCAGAGTGAAGTTTAACCCCGCACTAACGGACAAAGGCCTCACTTTTTCTGGTTTGGTATGCCAATAGACTAGACAAGAGCTGACAGTCTCATGATGGTAAAAATATTCCACTCTTCTTGGAGAAAATCAGTTTGTATTATGTTCAACCTAGATTGAAAGAGGATGAATTAAAAAAAATAGAACGTGAAAAACTGCAGGATGTGGCTGAGGAGACAAAATACAGAAGAAAAAGAAAGATCTTTAATAATTTAAGCAAAATTTAGAATTCTTTTTAGAATGAGTAACTAGATTCATATCACGTTGTCCAAGTCTATAGACCGGTACTACATCGCCAGTCAAGAAAGGACCTGTGATGGTCTTGGCCATTCTAACATCGTCTGCTGTATATAATCAAGGTGGAGCAACTCTTTAAATTTACAACATTTCTGCAAATATTCAAAAATGTCAAATACTGCTGTTTGTTGAACAACCACCAGTGAGCTATTGTTTCTAAATTCCAGAAAATATTTTTGTTTAAAAGGAACTCAGAAGTGAGAAAAAAAGAAAGAAAAAAAGGGAGAGAAAGAGGCAACAAGGGGGGGGGGGAGGGAGGGAGGGAGAAGGGGTAAGGGAGGGAGGGGGTCCAGGGGCTCCTGTGTCCCTTGGTTTGGAGCTGTCTCCTCTGCCTGCTGTGACAGCTGCGCTCCTGGACTGCCCAGCCAGTGGCACATCCAGATCTGCTTGTCCACTTCCCACTACTGAGCTAAAAACACAGTTTGGCGGTATGCCCACAAATCTAATAAGAATGAATCTTGTTACTAATAAGTAAACTAGAGTAAAGAGTTGTGTGTGTGTGTGTGCATGCATGCATTTGTGTGTCTGTGTGCACGTGTGTTTGTGTGACTGCCTTATGAACATTGAATCCATGTGCTCCACAGAGTTTTATAGACATTGCTCACATTAATCCCAATCAGGCGGAATCAAGAAGCTGACCCGAGAGTAACAAAAAACAACCTGCTGAATTGCTGGCACTTCTACGTATGTCCAGAGTACCAGACAGAAGGAAAACCGGGGCCAGATTGGAACACTTAATATTTTATGGTAGGGAAATGGCTGAGAATGTGCTCACTTCAGATGCGCATATGCAGACTTCAGATATATTTATCCAGAAACACATTTTGAAATTCATGAACCGGCACAGTCACGAAACATAACAACTTGCAAGGGGATCAGGGTGCAAAGAAATGGAGGACATCCAACGTCTCAAAAGTACAGGATCTAGTGAAAGTGGTTTGTTACTGATTTGGAATTCAGTTTGAAAAGGAAATGGAATTATGACAATTATAATATTGTGAGCAAAATTACCATTTTAAGCAGGATAAATTATACAGCCACATATCAAACTACCTAATACATATCAGAAAATAGAACAGAGCCCAGCTCTAATCTGGCTTAAAATAGAATTATCTAGCTATCTAATTTTCAGCAAATTGCATCCAGTTTGACATTGTAAAGCCCAAATAAAAGGATTAAAATAAGCATAACCTGGTTATCCTTCTATTGTCTCAGAGAGTACTAAAGCATATATATTATTTCAATAACAATAAAAAATCTGAATACTTACCTTTGGTGGAACTTACCCAGCACTGTCTTATCCCATTGGGATTACATATTGAAAATTAAGTGCCAGTGACAAGTCACCTGCACAGAGAATTTTTGCCTTTGGCATTGACAAAACTTTGAATAGTAATGTGACCATGATCTCAGAGTTAAACCCTAGTTTTTAGTTGATAGAACCTGTGAATATTACTTCCTCTGTTTTGCACCTTCTGTGTGTAATAAAATATAGCAAAAGTGTTAATACCTATGGAATTTATTGAACATTCTAAAGAACCTTTTATATTGTCCCTATGTTTCTAGAAAGTCTGATGGCATGGTAATTTTGGAGAGCATTGTGTGCACTATTAGTGCAGTAGATTTTAAGTATAAAAGATAATGGGGTAAGGCAGACAGAAAGCTTCATTGCATTTCTGTTAACTGTGCCCTTAGACACTCTCAAGAAAACGGAGACCGAAATCCTGAGTTGGTTGAGCTCTGCCAGAGCATCACAAAACAACAAGCCAAGTCTGTGAAAAGGAAAGAAAATGGCACACAACTATCAGGTTTAGCTACTAGATAAGTAAACTAGAATTTGGTTTAACTATTAAAAACAGCACTTAAATAATACCCTATTTCATGCATTTACAATACTTCAAAATAGCCCTATGGGACTGATATATTATATTCCCTTTAAAAATAAGGAAACAAGTTTCAAAAACATTTGAGTATCTTGTGCAATCATTGGTAGGACTAAGATTTCTACTCAGCTAAACTCAGAGCCTAAAATTGTGAGCAACCACAGCTTATGCTGCCAACTGCCTCAGTTCTTTTGGCTAGAGTTCCCTTGGTCATTTTGAGGGACAGGCTGTGTGGGTCACTGTCCCGCAGTAGGTCACTGTCGGTTACTGAGGCAGGGTATAGAAAACAGCTGTTTCTGGAATGAGTAATTAGGAAAGCCAGGTAAGATGATTTCCACATGATGCCAAACCAGTTAATCGCTTTTGCTTATTTAAATTGTGGCTCGATCCATGGGAATGGGCTCTGGGAGTAGAGTTAATCAAAATAATTATTTGACTAAACTGGCAACTGCTTAACTCCTGGATTAGACAATCGATCAGGCAATCCCATGCTTATCCAGTTGTATGGGAAGATTCATAATACCCAATAAAATCCTCCCAAGGTGAAAAACATCCCATATATTTTTCTTCAAGAAGGGGCAATAACGTCTTATATTCCGGATAAGTGTTATTACTCAGAGTAACTGGAGGAGCAACGCTTACTGGTAGGACAGCTGTGCCCTGAGAATCCAAATCCCAAAACTGTCAATCAAGGAAACAGATATGTATGTTCAGATACTAGAGATACAATCTGAAGCCTAGAAATTACATTTAAGAATGTTTTGCAAGAACGATTTTTTCTTTTTTCTTTTGTAATTCACTTTGGAGTTTTGATTTGTCATGCTGTTTGTTTCATACTCAATAATCTTCTATCTCTATTTTCAACTTCCCAAAATCTCATGATTTCTACATTTTTACACGAAAGCAACTTTTCTTAAATAAGTAATATTTGTAAGAATCTTGTGAAAACCTTTGTGCATTTCTCATCTTATTTAGATTGAAAGTGCTCTTCTATAAATTGGAGAAACGCTTCCTGAAGGAGTCTGACTCCAGCATCCAAGGAACTGGAGCTGCTTCGGGAAGATGCCAAATTCATTTCCTACTTCAGCTGGGGCACTGAGTCAGAATTTAGGAAAGAGACCACGGGAAGCTACATTGTAACAGCACAACCGCCATTGAGGCTTCCTGCACACAGTAAAATTTGAGCACCCTGGGGGGCAGTCATTTTCCTTGTTACTTAGTGTTGCAAGTTTAAGTAGACACAAATTACTATAAATCTGACACTCTCTTAGGGTCTAAGGCAATCAAGTTTCCCATAACGTCTGTTTCTTGTTGAAATTTCCAGTGATACTTCAAAGGAAATATTGTTTAACACAGTTTCCCAAACCTCTGAAAACCGAGGAGGGGAGAGGCAGAGTAGTGATAGCAATGCACCATTTGCACTTACAGGAGGAGCTGGTTAACTGGTTACTTGCGTGAACTACCTATCACATATATGCCTTTTCTCAGCATTAAGGAAGACAAATCTTCTGGCTATTCTTTTGCAACCTGATCACCAAGATCACCCTAACAGCATTATCCTGGTAAGATATTTTTTGTGTGACGTCAGTTGAAATACCTGTCTACCTTCTCAATCTCCCTGCTTGTCCCATTAGGAAATAGGGGACCCTTTTCTGAGTTGTAACCACAGGAAATGTTCCAGAATCACTTTATGGTTTGGGTGTTAATAGGAAGCAACATGAGAGATCAAAAAGGGGAGAAATCATAATTACAAGATAATTGTGGTCACCTCTGCTATATTCCCATTTTGTTTTACGTAAAAACTTCTGGAGTGAGTGCTTCATTTGTAAGTGCAGATGTCTGAGCTTAAACCCCAAACTTACTTCCTCAAAATTTCCAAGGGTGTGATCTGATATTTTCTTATGATTCCGGAGATTCTGAGAAGAGCTTGCTGACAAGAATAAGGCAAGGTTCAGAGAAACAAAAATGAGCTGTGCAGTGCTGTGGGTATAAATTAGGAATTGAACAGGAGAATCTGACTCAGAGGAAATCATTCACATGCGGCCGAAGTGTGGTTTGACATTTGAAAACAAGACTCATGACGCTGCTTTAAAACTCATGTGCATAGAACGGAGACTTCAAGTTCTGGTAGTGGATATTACAAGGGAGAAGACGCAGAAATTAAAGAAGGCCATGAATACATAGAACTAATTTACTTAAATGTTTTTCACTATAAAACAATGTGGGGTTGAAAGCTAGGTAGTAAAATTTTCTCAGATTCTGCAAATTGCTCGAAAATGATTTAAGCCCTAGAAAGAACTCCTACCAGGGGCATCATAATTCCAAATGTTGACCACGTTAGAGGACACATCGCCACTCACATGCCTCTCCTCCCAATTTCTCACTTCGTATCTATTACTGTTTAGAGGTTATAGAATTTATCACAGGCAAACCTGGTGCGTTACTCAAATGTAATCTATAACAAATTATTCTGAAGCTTACCTACATCTATTCTAAAAAGCTAGGGATAATACTTTTCATGCCTGTTTGATTTGAGATAAAGTTTCTTTTCTCCTCTTCTAGATCCTCTTTAAACCCTCAGGCTATGCAATATCCAATTTTTTTAAGATTTACATCAGTTTAAAGATATTTCATAAGTTATTTTTCATTTCAGTCTTTCTTTAAATAGTTTGTTTAGGTTTATAGATCCCAAATATGAATTTAGACAATTTGGTTTCATTGAAGTTTTTTCCCAAATTATTCTCTCGCACAATAGTTTATAAATAAAAAATAAATACAGAAATATACTAAATGATACCCTTCTCAGAAATGATAAAATAGTAACATTGGAAAAATAAGTTAAGAAAATATTTATACCAATTTTATTTTATTCATAAATACAATGTTTCCAGTTAGTTTTGAGAAGAAGGTGACAAACATTTGGAAGAATAATACAAAATACAACTGGGTGACTTTCCTATTTGTTTCACTTTTTTGTTGTTGTTGTTGTTGTTTATCACGTGCCAAACCCTGCACTAATCTTCTAGCCAGAATTTTTGTTTATTTATTCATTTACTTATTGAGACAGAGTCTCGCTCTGTCACCAAGCTGGAGCGCAGTGGCGTGATCGTGGCTCACTGCAACCTCCACCTCCCGGGTTCAAGCGATTCTCTTGCCTCAGCCTCCCAAGTAGTTGGGATTACAAGCAAGTGCCACCATGCCCAGCTAAGTTTTGTATTTTTAGTAGAGACGGCGTTTCATCATGTTGGCCAGGATGATCTCGATCTCCTGACCTTGCGATCCACCGGCCTTCGCCTCCCAATAGCCAGAATTATTATAATTAACCCTCACCATAACCTTATGTGGGTATTTCAGGTATAGAAAGGAGGAAACTGGAGCCCCTGTGCCTTAACTCATTTAAAAAAACCACACCTCCTTCAGGGATAGCTGCAGTTTGCCTCAGATTTCTCTCATTCTCTGATGTTAATGACTATAATAATTTGACCAACAAGGCTCCGGTCCTTAAGAGCGCTAGTGCTGTGTAAACTATCCCGGGTTACACATACCTCTGAAAGAATTCTTAACCCCTGACTCCAAAGATTAGTTCAATAAGTTCATGTCTCCAGATCTCCAGGGCAAGGACGATGGGCCCAGCTTGGGAGAACAGTGGAAGCAACGTTGCTGAAGGTGATTCCCAGGTCTCCGTTTCATTTAGCCCTGGCAGAATCACTGCCTCATGCTCAGAGAGAGTATGACTGAAAAAAACAAAACCAGCAAACCAAGAAACCCGGGAGAAACAGGGGCTCCTATAATAATCCTTCCACAGAGTCTCTCCCTTCCTTGACCACCACCGTGGCCTCCTACAGATCACTGGGAGGTGACGGACTCCCCAGGCCGTCCCCATCGAGCTGCTCTTCCACAGTCCTCCTCTTTTCTTGTGGAACAGTCATGTTGGTCAACTGCATTTCCCACGTCCAGCGCCTGATTGACCTGTCGGGCCGTCATTCCGACTGTTCATTCCCCGGCCACTCTCTGCTGAGCAAGTCCACCCTGACTGCTCACTCCTACTGCTACTGCCATCCTGGGCACAGATTCTAAAAGCAGAAGCTTTGAATAAAGTGTGTGATCTTCTTCCAGGGCAGTTATTTCTATTTATGGTTGTATTCATTCATTCATTCATTCATTCATCATTCAGCTACTATTTAGTACAGAAATACCCAGCTACTCTGCCCGAGGACATTCACTAAGTACCTAACTTGGTCTACCTAAAGTGAGTGCTGTAGAGAAAATCACAAGTAGGGAGACTCAAATAAATGAACTAAAATACGAAGGAAACCAGGAGGCAGACAGGGAAAGGCGTGAGAGGGGATCAAAATTTCACAAAGACCATGCATTTCTGAAGAGAGGCCAGAAAAAGGTTCTATAATAGTATACACAACAATTAAATTTATGAATTATTTAAGGTGAATAACCTAAAATGTTAATAACTAGATATTAAAAAAACAACTTATTTATTAACCTGAAAACAATGTAATATATAGCAAAAATGTATAAAACAATACTATTTCTTGAAAGTTGTTTTATATTTAAAAGGAGTCATAACCTTTAAAAAGCCTTCAGAATTATCCAGAAGAAACAATAACCATTATTGACTTCCAGAGATAGATTAGAAAAAGAGCTATTATAAATAAAGAGATTGATAATTGAATTAGGGATGCTATATTTTGTACTTCGTATGCCTACTATATCATCATTCGGCCAATTTAATTTGCCTTGAAAAGAGTTGCATGGCTTAATTGATTTTTCAAATAAGTTTTCCACTCTCAAAGTTACTCTGCCAAAGCTTTATTTAAATCTGTACGCCACTTTCAATTACAGATACAGTTATGCCAACAGAATAAGGCATTTTATTCTGCTTAATTCTTTCCAAGATGGAAATGAAAAAAATGAACTTTTAGGAATTGGTAACATTTTCACTTACCATAGCCGATGGGTAATGAGATCCTCCAGGTGCAGTCTAAGTTGTTGGGGTAAGAACCTGGGAAGCCGGGGCTCAGGATCACACCACCCAAGGTGCTCAGCGTCCCTCCACAGGTTGCTGTTAAGTGGACAAGATGTCAGTCCTGCAGGTCCTCACTTTCTCCCTGGAATCTTTGCTCCAACCTGCTTCACTCAACTATGCTGAGAAAGAGCAAGTCTTCGGAGTTAATTCTGCCCCTAATTACAGCACACGATACAATGCTGTGTGCCTTAGTTATTTATGAGCTGTGCTCTCCCTCTTGACAGTGAACTGCTTTAGAATAAAGACCATTTTTCAAGATCCATCTTCTCCTCTCACACTCAAAGGCTCCCAGTAAAGATGAGTCCATGTAATGTTTGCGTCACAGTCAGGCATCAAATGGACTTCAGTATATTAGCTGCTACTCATTGAGAGGTAGTATTACTCCCTATTGATTGATTGCTAACTATGTGGTACTTACTGTGCCTAGATAAATACATTGCATAGATTAACTCACATAGCAACCCTGAAAGGATTACCATTCCCCTCTTACACATGAAGAAACCAAGCCTGGAAGAGATGAAGAAATTTGCCTAAAGTGACATGCCTGGTAAACAGTACAACCAGAAGGTCATTCCAGCTGCGTCTGGTTCCAGTACCCAAGTTTCAGCCACCACACATGACTGTCAGATAGCTTTTCAATTTCGGAAGGCAGCTAACTGCAACCACTTTCTCCCCAGGAAATCTTATGCTGTGAGAGAGGGTGAAATAAGTTCATGCATCTTGCCTTATCTTGGCGACTCACATGTTTTGCTACTGTATCTGAGGTTTGACTACAAAGAGACACAACTGATTTTACAACAAACATGCCCAGTGATACAAGACGAAGCATTTGAAGTTCCAATCTTTGATCATTTGTAGCCTATTAAAATAATTTCTTATATTCCAAAATTAATGCAAATGATGCCACTTCTTTTCAGGAAGCCCAAAGGAAATGGCTTTATTCTAACAATGCTCTCATTATGCAAAATGTTTTAAACAAAATATTTTCTGGAAGCCCTCTTTTAGAGGCCCCCTAGGACCTGTGGTGAAGCCTTTTTCTTTTTTAATCATCATCAAGACTGAAACAACTTATTTGTAATTTGAGAAATAGCTAAAACTTAAGTCTAGTGAATATGGTGATTGCTCAAGCCAGGGCACCATATTCTGGATTTCAAACATTGTATAAGTTGAAAAATGTGAGCTACAAACATTTAAAAGTATATTTTTGTGGTGTGAGTCATAATTCTGGAAAAGTCTTGGACACCATCAACTGTGTTGCTATTTAAAGTATAACCTCTCAAGGCGACTTCTTTGTGGCAGAGACTAGGCATTTGCAAGGCCAGGCTCCCATGTGCACTTTGTCCATGCAGCTGCTGAATGTGCGGAAGACACACCAGCAAATCTGAGTGGCATGCCTACATACATTTAGCAGTAACACCCTTTCCCTTAGGGCTCGTGGGACCTGCAGTGACAGTAGATGTGTATATCCAACTGTCAGAGGTGTTAAACCAGAACAACTCCACCTGGAATAGGAGCTGGATAAAACAAGGCTGAAACGTACTGGGCTGCATTCCCAGATGGTGAAGGCTTTCTAAGTCACAGGATGAGAGAGAAGGTCAGTACAAAATACAGGTCACAAATACCTTGCTGACAAAACAGGCTGCAGTAAAGAAACCGGCTAAACCCACCAAAGCCAAGATGGCCATGAGTGTGACCTCTGGTTGTCCTCACTGCTACACTCCCACCAGCACCAAGACAGTTTACAAATGCCACGGCAACGTCAGGAACTTACCCTCTATGGTCTAAAAAGGGGAGGCATGAATAACCCACCGCTTGTTTAGCATATCATCAAGAAACAACCATAAAAATGGGCAACCAGCAGCCCTCGGGGCTGCTCTGTCTATGGAGTAACCATTCTTTTGTTCCTTTACTTTCTTAATAAACTTGCTTTCACTTTACTCTACGGATTCGTCCTGAATTCTTTCTTGCACAAGATCCAAGAACCCTCTCCTGGGGTGTGGATCACAACCCCTTTCCTGTAACACAACTACAGGGAAGACACGAATGAAAAAGGCCGAATCAATGACAAAAAAAGGAAAACAACAGAACCAGTAAATGTGGTATTACTAAAAAGTTCCTTTTGATTTTAGCATGATTTTCACACACACATGCAGAGGGAAATTATAAAATACAAACACTCATACATATCTTCAGCTGAGGACTGAGGCAGCCCTGCAGGAGGGGCTGGCCCAGGACCTCAGCGTAGACAGCATCATCAACACGGATGTCTGTGTCCCACACAGACCAACTCTCTGTGTGATGGGAAACTGATCATGGGCCTGACCACTGGGTTCATCTCCTGTCAAACATGCATCAATCACCTAATTACTTGAGAGCTTAGTTAAAACCACGGTAATCCTTTGTTTTTGATGTTGCTTATCTAGAAAACTACAAGTCAATAGATAAGCGTAAAAACAGAGCTCCCAAAAGACGCATATCCATCTTTTCTTCCTTTGTAACTTTTTTTTAAGACAGAGTCTTGCCCTGTCACCCAGGCTGGACTGCAGTGGTGCAATCTCAGCTCACTGCAACCTCCGCCTCCCTGGTTCAAGTGATTCTCCTGCCTCAGCCTCCCGAGTAGCTGGGATTACAGGCGCCCACAACTGCGACTACGCCTGGCTAATTTTTGTATTTTTAGTAGAGATGGGGTTTCACCATGTTGGTCAGGCTGGTCTCGAACTCCTGACCTCAGGTGATCCACCTGCCTCGGCCTCCCGAAGTGAGGGGATTACAGGCCTGAGCCACTGTGCCCAGCCCTTTGTGACATTTTAAGGCGACTGGGCTTGCCATGTCTTAGATTGGTTCAGTGTCCATCTCTGTGTGGTCATCAAGTTGCAGACTGACTTCCTGCCTCCTGCCTGGGAAGCTCCCTCCATGCCAGACCCTTTCTTATAGGTAAATAGCATATTTAGAGTTATTGGTAAATGTGGTTTTTGTAAAGGGAAAGGAGTTTATTTTTATAAAATGGCTAGAGACCTTATATTTTACTGGATTTATACATCTTATTTTGTGTGAATTCTTGGTTTTGGCGGGAGAAAGAATATACAGAATTTTTACTGAAGGACACAGACACACCATGCTGAAGAGCCCTGCGGTGCAGTGAGACAGGGAGGTCCTGGGCCACCTGCTGTGACATGAACTTCACCCAGCTGTAGAGCCCTAGAAAACTGCGAGACCATTCTGGGGCTTGTTATAAATATTCAAAACAGTCAATACTGGTTAAATTCTGAGAACACTGCTTGATATATTAACCTCTAGAGAAGTGGTTTTATATACATTCTCTTCATTAGTACTTTTATTTTTCAAAATTAGGTCATGGGATTTCCAGGAGCTCTTAAGTAAAATATTATCTCTCTATGGACTTCTCCTCTTACAATTCCCCAGTTTGGAGTAATCTAAAGCTAACAGCTACAAAAAACCTTTTAATCACTAGAATCTGTCTTTGAGATTTATCATGGGTCATGTGTGAGTTTTTAAAACAATGAAAAAACTTGTATACCCTGTAAAGAATTACAGAAGTTGACATAACTTAAACATGTGCTAATATTTACGATGTTAAGTAAAAGAGAAAAGCCTATTATATTTTGCAAATATAAGTTAATTCTTTGAATAAAACATCCCATTATGTAATACAAAGTGACAGCAAAGGCATATTATTTGAGTCTATGTCTGCTTAGAATTGATTTCATTGTGAAGTTTAAAAAATTTCAATTCCTGACTTTTAGGGAAGGCTCTTCATTTAAAAATAAATAGGCAGATTGATGTTCTGTATGAATCAAAGGCAGTTTTAATTGTTTCGTTTTTTAAATTTTTTAATTTTTTCCTTCCAAATCAAGGCTGGGATTTTTTTTTTTTTTTTTTTTTTTTTTGAGACAGAATCTCGCTCTGTCACCCAGGATGGAGTGCAGTGGCGCGATCTTGGCTCACTGCAAGCTCCGCCTCCCAGGTTCACGCCATTCTCCTGCCTCAGCCTCCCGAGTAGCTGAGACTACAGATGGTCGCCACCACGCCCAGCTAATTTTTTGTATTTTTAGTAGAGACGGGATTTTACCGTGTTAGCCAGGATGGTCTCGATCTCCTGACTTCGTGATCCACTCGCCTCAGCCTCCCAAAGTGCTGGGATTACAGGCGTGAGCCACCGCGCCCGGTCAAGGCTGGGATTTTAAACGTCTGTAAAAGTAGCTCAATGTTTTTAGCTGACATGTTAATCTAGACATTTATTTTTACCAAGACATAGCTTTTAAAAATAAGATACTGTCCTCTAAGGTATATTTTTCACTTGTAAGCAACTATGATGTAGTGAACATAACATAAACAGACGTTCTCTCCTGGATGAGCCTATCATAAAGGCTGAAGTTTTTTGTTTTACAGGTTTCGTGCAGTTTTATTTTCCTCTGTACACAATTTCACCTGCATCCCATGCAAGGCAGTTAAATTGTGTATTACTAAAAACCATTGAATACCTAAATTTATTTGAGATGTGGGGAAATTAGGCTGTCAGAAGAATGTGTAACAGACAGTAATTACCTCGCTTTACTTGTGGGTGCCCACACCACACTACGCCGAAATGAATTCTAAACAGAATGTGAATAGCTCCCAGGACAATTTTAAGGCTATTCTGTGGCCTTTAAAATAGCTAATGTTCATCCATATAGAGTTGACCACTTTCTCCTAAAACACCATTTGGCAGTATGGCATGTTTGAGGCTGACTGTCTGGACATAAATGGGTTCTGAGCACACCCCCAGCAATACTTGAGTGTTCGAAGACTGTGGGGAACAATAAAGACAGCACCCCAGAAGTGTGACTGTTATAATGATCCAGGCTCTCTGATACTCATTCATTCCCTAGCCATTCTTTAATTGAAATTCTTGAGTGTCTACCATGTGCTGAAGATACAGAGGTGAGTATTGCAAGTCTCTGTCACCAAAGCCTTTGGGGATTGTAGAAGGGCAAATTAAAGAGCAATATCATTACAACTCTGCAGGAAGTAAAGTCAGGCACATGGTGGTGGTAGCCCAGGGTAGAGATGACTCACTGCACCTGCAGGTGGGAGCTCAGAGAGCATTGAGGAGGGGACACTCTCTCCAGTGCAAAATTCAAGAGGGTGCCTAAACCCTCCAATAAATATTTTAATGCAATATTTGGAAAAAATAAAAAGAAAGGCAGAAAATCTATGATGAACAAAATATGAAAATTTTAAATAAAGACAAGATCAGTACTGCCGATGTTTCCTTTTGCCTCTTTCCTGTGATAAAGTTGGAGTATGGCTGAATATGGGAGCTGTAGGTTAGGATTCCATGGAGACGATAATTTAGGAGGGGACTGTGCCATCTTAAAGATGGGGCATTGGAGCTAAGAATCACAGGGGAGGATACGCTCAGGTGGAAGGGGTGACAGGAGTGAGAAGTCACTTGGATTTAGGGAGTGAGGGAGAAATTTAAGGTAATACCCAGATTTGTTGTTTAGACAAAAAAAAAAAAAAAAAAAAAAGCAGGATACTGCTAATAGCATTCGCAGAGGAAGTAGATCCAGGAGAACAACAATAGGTTTGGAGAAGCCGATCACTTTGTGGGTTGCGGGTAAGGAGTGTCAAGTAACTGACCATGATCCTACTGAGACAGTACCTGCAAGGTTGAATGGTTGCCTGAGCTACAGGTAAAGGTTTCTGAGTTGGGCTACAACAAATAGGTGATGGGTGAAGCTGGGGGCCTGAATGATGGGGAGCAAAGGGCACCCTGACATCACCAACCTTTGTACTGAGGGACTTGTGACCACCACCTTCAATGCCCCTGGAATCATTAAACTCCCATCACATTACCTATGCTAACAGTTTAGGGAGTCTCAAGCCATTAAATACAGCTCTGGAAAGCTTTTTCCTAAAGAAGCCGGCTGATTGTGCCCCCAGGAGCGCATCCACAAGATAGTCACCAGGCTGTTTCCAACATGAAATACTCCATCACTCCATCAGTAATCTGTCATTCTGAATTTTCTTCCTGGGAACTTGTTTTTTCTGAGGCTAAAGGTCTATACAGAAAACTCCCCAGACTTTCAGACCAGCTGCATTCCTTCTTTGCCACAAATTAACAAACTGGCCTTCTGACACACATGTCGTTTTGGTGCAGGGCCGTGAGCGGGCAGTCTTGCCTCTGGTCTGTGCGGGCTGACCCAGACACACTGAGAAGACGGAGTTGCTGCATCCAGTGGGGAAGGTGCAGGTTAAACGCATCATTCTGCTCTACTGCATTATGTGCTATTAGTATATAACACGTGTTTTGAAATTAAGAAATTTAGAAGTGCATTCTTTGACCCCAAGAGTAGAGCAGGCATGTTCTTCCCAGTGTGTGCGCAGCAGCAGAGTTACAGAAGGTGCATCCTTACCAATGCACAGGGGAGACGGATAGTTCCAACGGCGAACGGTCCCTGGCATACAGGAAATGTGGGAACGGCCCTGTTTAAAAGAAAACAAAAGAAAATACATATAACTAAAAACAGAGTATTTAAGGATTAAATGTTTGAGAATATCTGCATTTTTTCCTTTCTTGTTTTAATTATAAATATTTGAAAATTCAAAAATTGTGAAATCTGTTTTTAGTAATGATTATTAGTGAGTCACATTTTGAACCAACATAGAAAAGTATCCATTTTCACCGTGTTTCTTTCTACTAAAAACAAAATCTTGCAATGTCCTTTTGACCAGACCATAATTCGACTCAGCTCCTTTCTTGATACTTAAGAGTACTGAATTGGGCAAAATATGCATTTTTTTTTTCATTCACCAGAATTTACAGCTTTTGGCCTAAGAAGCTGAAAACAATTAGAAAGTACTAGGTGGTGATTAAAAGGCCAAAATGTCAGCAATACAAAGTCTGCTTATGGAGAGGTAGCTTCGGTGGTTGTCTGTGCTTCCGCGTCACATGACTACCAGGGTTCAGCAAAGCACTGGGTCGTTTCTTTATCACAGAACGGAGACTTCACATTCATTTTCTCACTAGACATCCTCACACATCACAACAACCTGCCTGCAATGAAATTAACCCTCATCACTCAGGGTCTCTTTACCCTGTAAATACATGAATTTTCCACTTTCTACTTTAAAAAATCTGTTCCAGTCTTTCTCAATGAAAAAAAAAACAAACAGTAGAGGGTTAAATTCAAAGATGTTTTGTGCTAACATCTCTTTCTCAGTAAAAGAGAGGTGATCCATGAGACCTCTGTGTGCGGCCTATTTTTATATTTTTCCTGATCGTGACTCGGTGGCCTTATCAGCCAGGTTTGCTTATCTCATAAATTTCCATTTGCCACCCACAATTGGCATAGAGGCAATTGAAAAACAATATCTAATGTATGTTAAATAATTCCAGCCACACTGGGAACGCATCAAACAAGCGTTTGCACTAATGCAGTTATCAATGGCAAACCGATTCCCTAAGCTCTCAAACATTTCATACTCAATCCACCTGCCACAAAACTAACTTTCTCATACCTCTTGATATTTTTAAAAGTAGTTACAGTAAAGAAGACCATATTTAATTTTAAAGAAGATACTCCAGGTAATTTTGTGCTGCCGGCATTGACACTCTCTGTATCCCCATTCTTCGACGCATTAAATTATCCTTACAAATTTCCTTCTGAAATAGGGAAAAACATAGAGTTCAAAAGTCTCAAAAAATTTTCATCAGAGACTACCAATAAAATGGTCATTTATTACCAATCTAGGTAATATTCTGCTATTGATTTTGTTATAAACGTTTCCGATGAGCGATTCTAGCTACAAGTTTTCTAATAAATCAAAACAAGATAGGACCCTGTGCATTTATTTACTAGTTTTTACACCAATGGGAATTTTCTTTTTTATGTTTAAAAAGACCATTAAAACAAGTTGAGAGAAGATGGAAGTCATACATCATTCCAATATTCAGGATTTACTTTCAGCGTGTGATGTCATGGCAGCCCCTGAATCACACTAGGCATATGTATTTATAGACACTCACGTGTGAACTATGCAAGGAACAATGCTTTTCATGACTAATATGTAATTGATGCATCTGTTGTTCCAAATATATTAAAGTGTTAGTAAAATTGTCAGTTGTTAGCAATTCAAAAAAAATCCAGAATCCTTTTTTGCTCATGTGAATGACAAACAGCAGCTTGCAAACTCAAAGCTTGGCATTGTTTGTAACGAAGAAAAGAAACACAGCTTAGTTTGCATTTGAAAAACAGAGCTAATAAACGGTCTGCTGGGACTGTGCAGAAGTGCATCCACAGGCCTGTGTCCCTAAGCAGCATATTCAATAATCCATTATAAGAAATTTCTTTGGTAAAGAATTATTTCTATTTTCTTCTCTGAGAGCTGTCATAATATCATTTATAAAAGAACGGCAACAGAATCTGCAAAGTCTCACCATCAGGTAGAAAGAAGAGGAACATCGATGAGCAAGAGCAAATATTACAGTTTGGGAATTTGAGGGAGAATGGAGGAAACATGATATTTACCTGATTTCAGGCAATTATAAAGCAAGCCCCGAAAAAGGCACAAAAACAGCATGTCAGTACAGATTGAGGTGTCCCTCTAAATGAGATCCTTGAGATATGAAAGACAATTCTTTTCTTTTTTTCTTTTTTTAAGATAGGGTCTTGCTCTGTCACCTAGGCTGGAGTGCAGTGGTGCAATCTCGGCTCACTGCAACCTCCGCCTCCTGTTTCAAGCGATCCACCCACCTCAGCCTCCCAGGTAACTGGGACTAAAGGAATGCGCCGCCATGCCCAGCTCATTTTTGTATTTTTTGTAGAGATGGTGTCTCACTGTGTTGCCCAGGCTGGTCTCAAACTCCTCGATTCAAGCAATCCTCTGACTTTGGAATCCCAAAGTGCTGGGATTACAGGTGTGAGCCACTGCAACCGGCCTAGGATAATTCTTTCTGACATATCAGGTGGATCAGGAACGTTGTGTCCTAAAGATTCAGCCTGAATAGCTTGAGTGTGTTTGGTTACAAACTTACTGAGGTATCCCAACTTTCAGGAGTCCTTACTCACCAGTTTCCACTACAGAGACTCTCGCTCTGCCTCCAATCTTTTTGCAGAGTTACAATTATTGTGGTACCCACCAAGATGGTGTTATAATGTAAGTGGTAGGTTTGTTCTTACGAAGGTGGCTTTATACATTGATACTGGTTTCTAATAACAGCTACAATAGTTTTCCTATACTAAAGTGTGCCAGTTATTTCACAGATATTTTCTCTAAGCTGAAAGCATACATCACATGGTACCCATGTCCCACGGTTGATCAGGAGAAGTGAGATTTTGTATATAAAGCACTTGGTAATGCACCCCTTTAGCATTCAGCGTTTGCCAGCCCCTGTTCTTGCTCTTAACTTGATTCACTGCTACACAATATTTACCCCAATGTACATGCAGAAACTGAATTCCACACAGTGCTGTTATTTCACGGCTGTAGTGTTGCAACTCTGCATATAAGAACATAGCTAAACAATTTTCCTTTAAAACCTATCAGTGTCAGTGTCATTATAAACATACAGCTAAAATATTCTATTACCTGAATTAACTGAAGAGCTGGAATGTCAATCGACCTATATATTTCTCCTGACTTTAGAATATACATGTTTTGATTATCAATTTTTATTGCTGGCAGAGAGAATTATATAATAATTATGCTAAGTGATAGACACTATTCTGAGAGTAGGCTTACTCATGGTTAAACTAGAAAATATTAATAATAAATAATAAGAGAAAAATGACTACTCTTGCCATACATTAGATTATAAATCATTCATCAAAACTTTTATATAAAAAACTCTTGGCTGGACACAGTAGCTCACACCTGTAATCCCAGCACTTTGGGAGGCCAAGGCAGGTGGATCACCTGAGGTCAGGAGTTCGAGACCAGCTTGGCCAACATGGTGAAACCCCATCTCTACTAAAAATACAAAAAGTAGCCGGGTGTGGTGGCAGGTGCCTGTAATACCAGCTACTTGGGAGGCTGAGGCAGGAGAATTGTTTGAATCTGGGAGGCGGAGCTTGCAGTGAGCCAAGATCAAGATCATGCCGCTGCACTCCAGCCTGGGTGACAGAGCGAGACTCCCTCTCAGAAAAAAAAAAAAAAAAAAAAACCCTCTTTATATAGAAGATAGTAAAAGTTCATTGAAAAACTTCTACTTAATAGTTTTTAAAACTTACTTAAATGTTTTATTTTGGTGCCTTATCTACCTAGCCCAAAGAGGGCATTAATGATGACTTATACTGAATGATGAGAACAGTTTGCAGGGTAGCAGGTGCACATACAGAAGCAGATTCAATTACTGGCTGCCAGGAGAGGACTTTCAAAGAGACAGTGTTGATATTTTGCCCCTAGAATGCTCTGTGCATAGTTATTGGGAACGCATATATTTTGAAATAAAACAATTGTGAAAAATACAATGCTTAGCTTTGAAAGAGTACATTATCACTTAAAAGCTGTTTCCAAATGGTGACGAAGATGACCAACATGCATGATTTAATATGAATAGTATGATTCACAAACTGAGTGAGGAAAACATGGGTACAAAGTGAGGGCTTTGGCTTTAAGAGAGCTGCACAAAGATGACCATGTGTATGTTATTCCTGAGCACTGAGAAGAAGGATACCTGCAGGGTGTACCCGGGCTCGCACTGGAAGGAGAGCACGTCGTTCACCATGTACCGATCTCCGATTTTGATGCTGTTGCTGGGGAGGGCTGGTTCTTGGCATGCAGCAAGACCTACAGCTAGAAATGCAAAGACAAATGCTAGAAATTATATGATGTAAACAATATTCTTATCATTTGAATAACCAAAGTTTATTTCTATTGCTCTCCTTCTGTAGAAATGAACAAAGACTTCAACTCTTTCTCTTGTTATTCTACCAAGAAGACTTTGAGTACCTTTAAATCAGAGCTATGAGTTAATTGTTAAAAATTAAATTATCTTATTTTCATTACACAATGAATCAAGGCTTTGATTTCAATAACAAAATTTGTTACTTCCACATTGAGTATAGAAGATCCCAACTTCAATATATACATATTGTAAAAAGTCTCTTCAAAAATTGTGTTTTTATGATATGTAAAACTCCAGGATATTGCCCTCTTACTTTTGTTTTTCAAGCATACTTAGCAGTCTTTATATAAAAAAATTATGTGTGAATCTTGGAATTCTGTTCTTCTACAAAAAAAAAAAAGAGAAAAAATATTTTACATTCAATCTCTCTCTCTCTTTCTCTTAAAGACAACAAAAAAGGATCTCATGAACAGTCTGTTCTTCATTAAACAGAAACAATATTTACAGAACCTAAAGCTGTAATCCTGCACTTTCCTAGATGAATTGCATTCAGTTAAGACACTCACAGATTTTTTTAAAGGCATCATATAATACTGGAACTCAGCCTAAGGTATCAGATAAACGAATTCTAAAACACTGAAACCTCTCTGTATAAATCCTTATCATAAGAATAAACAAGATATGCAGCTACCATATTTTGTAGAATCAAAAATTGATTTTGGTTTATCAAAAGGTACAAACTTTCCATTATGAGATGAGCAAGTTCTGAGGATCTAAAGTGTACAGCATTGGATGTTGATGGATATATTAATTTCATTTAATTAAAAAATGCATTTGAAATGGTGCTAAGGGCTTGTTGAATACAAATAATTTATTCCATTATTCTAACATGTCATGAAGAAATAGTGGAGAAAGGCTTCTCTTGGTAGGCCAGCTTCACATTCTTTATGGGGCCTTGGATTCGCACTTTAGTTCTTGTACTTCACAACAACAGGAGAGAACTTATCAGATTACTTAATTGACTGGGACTCTCAGAAAGGAAGCTGGGGTGGAGGAGGTGAGTAGGACTTTAGTTAATCAGAAGGAAAAAAAAAAAAACAGCAGGAGAACAGGTCCACTCAGGGGCAGTCCCATGCTAGTGGTCCCCAGGCACAGAGAGGACGCAGCTGCCTGCACTGCCCATGGGCCGGTCCCCACGCGGGGCTCTGCCCTGAAGCCAGTCAGCTTTCCCTGCTTCATCTGCTTCATGCCTGCTCCACGTCTCACCAGACTTCACTTTCCGAAAAAGAAAAAAAAAAAAAAGCACAAGTGCAAAGATAAAATGATTAAGAACTTCAAAACCAGCGGCCACCAAGCACGAGACCCAGTGTGACTCACGCAGTGCCCACTCAGGAAGCAGCTGTGGGTCGAAGCTACAGAGTCAGCAGCAAGGTCAAGGGAAACCCTGGGTCATCCCTGCATGGCTGTCACTGTGCCAGACGCATTATACTAACTCCAGTCCCCACCAGACCCTCATAGCCAGGCTCCTTGTGTCTGATATTAAACAAAAGGCAAAGTGAAGTCAGCCTGGCTGCAGAGTTGCACAGGTCGGTGTGTCCATGTATATGAGCCTGATCTCTCATGCGTGTTGAGCTAACAGTACACTTCCTCCACTGCCTGGATGATGGAGCCTGTAAGAGATGTGTTCACCAGTGCCGACCCCAGATCTGCTGAGTCGGAGGCAACACCATCCCAAATCCTTCACCAGCTTGCCGAGTGTTTCCCCAAATCTGAGAGGGCGAAATGGAGAGAGAGAAGTGTCTTCATCTTACAGTACCGTGATTGTTCATTTGAGAATCCCATGCTACGGAATCCAGGTCAGAATGGAAAGCAGTGGTACATAAACTAGTTGAGTAATGTCAGGCCACAGAACCCATTGATTCTGTATAGAATGAGTAGGTAGGAGGAGTGCCACGAACTTTTTCTAAGTTGAAATAGATTTTTCCTTAAATGGCTGCATTTTTAGAAGTATGAAGTACCATAAGCATTAAGCAGCAATATACTTTATTCCTACCACAGATTTTCAAGCCATTGGGGCTTTACATAGAAGATAAAACTGCTAAATATGAAAAAATATATACAATCACTTAGGCCTTTAACTTCTTTTACTAATGTAAGTCTAAAATCTTTTGTTTTAACTTTAGAACATAGATTACTACATTTAAATCCCATCTTTTCTTTCCTACCACATATTAGCAAGGTCATCTACCATACATCTCTGAGTTTTTTATTTCCCCCTGAAAAAAATGTATACTTAAAATACTAGGTAAATTTTAACTACAGTCGGGAATACTAAAAATCTACTTTAGGGTGATACTAAGTCATCGTCATTCTGAGATACTTCAAGGACACACCAGGTGACACAGAACGAAGAATATCGATTACAAAAACAGGTTCCAAATATCAAGACAAAATATTTTGAAATGAAAAGTGAAACATTACAATTCATATTAAAGGCCAGTTACTAAACTTGCATGTTTTACCCATAAGATATGATGTGTTTTTATTATATATTGATTTATATGCAGTTATTACATATTGATTTATTGTCATTTTCTCCTTTCTTGAATTCTATTCAATTGATCCTCTGGGGAAAAAAAAATTGCATTTATATCTGGCCTTTAAGGAATTATAATTAATTTATAATTAATTATAAATAAATGAATAAAATAAAAACACACAAAAATACCATTTTGACCGGTGTTTAACATGGCCAGACTCAGGAAGCAGTTCTATGCAGAGCACAATATTTGAAATGTAAAAAGAACCATCTTTTCTTCTCCCTTCGCCAGTGTCACTACACACCCAGTATATGTTAGAAGCTAAGAATGCAAAGAGATTAATACCTGGTATGTGTAAGAATATTTTTTATCAATATTATTTAAACCTGCTACTATATTAAAAGGAGTGACAAAGTGCATAAGCGATTGATATGATCAGAGCCCAAGTATTTTCCATACTTTGCATTTCTCTCATAAAGATGCACTAATTCGCTTGCAACACTAGGAGTAATTCAAGTCATCATGAGAACAGTGGTTTTTAATTTTTATTTTTTATTTATTTATTTTTTTATTTATTTTTGAGACAGAGTCTCACTCTGTCGCCCAGGCTGGAGTGCAGTGGTGTGATCTCAGCTCACTTCAAGCTCCACCTCCCGGGTTCATGCCATTCTCCTGCCTCAGCCTCCTGAGTAGCTGGGACTACAGGTGCCCGCCACCACGCCCGGCTAATTTTTTTATATTTTTAGAAAAGACGGGGTTTCACCATGTTAGCCAGGGTGGTCTTGAACTCCTGACCTCGTGATCCACCTGCCTCAGCCTCCCCAAAGTGCTGGGAGAACGGTGGTTTTTTGTTGGTAAAGGTGTGTCAGATGCAGGGGCAGAAGACAGCTAGGCTTGACATACAGGACAGTGATGGGGATGTTAAAATAGGGCAAGAGTGGAGCACAGGAGAACTCTGAGCTTTTTGGGAATGCGGTGAAACCTTCTGAGAGAGAAATCAACCATCTACAGAATGGCTCCGAAACAGAAAAGCCAGAAAGGAGGTGGGGGAATGTAGACAATAACATAGAAGACAAGGCAGTGAACCTTCTGACCTTTAGGGGACAGAAGGTCGTCTATTGATGAATTTTTGGTACAGAAAAAATTAGACTATTTATATTTATTCACTGTATTAGTCAAAATGTGAAACAAATATGATATGATAGGAAGTAGGCAGGGTGGTGTTTGGTAATAAATATGAACTGTGTAGAAGGTAAGCTTGAGTCTATACATGTATACATAATTCTCTTTTTAGACTTTTAAAAAGAATCATGTACTTTAAAAAAAAAGAATTTTAAAAAGAATTATGTATGATAATTCTTATCACATCATGTCTGTTAGGCTGGGCATGGTGACTCATGCCTGTAATCCAGGCACTTTGGGAGGCCGAGGCAGGCAGATCACCTGAGGTCAGGTGTTCAAGACCAGCCTGGCCAACATGGCCCTGAAACCCCGTCTCGACCACAAATGCAAAAAGTACCCGGGCGTGGTGGTGTGCACCTGTAGTCCCACCTACTCGGGAGGCTGAGGCAGGAGAATCGCTTGAACCTGGGAAGCAGAGGTTGCAGTGAGCCAAGGTCACACCACTGCACTCCAGCCTGGGCAACAGAGCGAGACTCCATCTCAAAAAAATAAAATAAAAAATAAAAAGAGAATGCTAATCAACAAGTCTGCCTTTCCTGAAGTGTTTTAGAAGAACGATGTTTGCATTGATTGAAAGTGATCTCTCATATTGTCAAGCCAGGGGTAGCAGTATCATATAAATAATGGGCAAACCTATAGAAATAGACATTTATAAGTATTTATATAGACACAAAACATAGGTATCTAGGAAGACATATACAAATAAAAAGAATTATTTATTCTTAAGGCAGACTAAAAAGAACTCACAAAACGTAACTATGATAGGAAAATTCTAGATTAATTTTCCAGAAGCAGAGATATCTGGGAAAAAGTAAGCTGTCTTATTGTTTAGGAAAATTTTCAAGAGAAATAATTTGTACTTCTTTCAAATCACAGCATACATATGCTTCATACCATAAATGATAATATATCATATGGGGTGAAGCAATGCTTCTTTAAAAGGTGGTTCACAGGGCGGGGCACAGTGGCTCACGCCTGTCATCCCAGCACTTTGGGAGGCCAAGGCAGGTGGATCACAAGGTCAAGAGTTCCAGAGCAGCCTGGTCAACATGGTGAAACCCCGTCTCTACTAAGAATACAAAAATTAGCCAGGCGTGGTGGCATGTGCCTGTAATCGCAGGTACTTGGGAGGCTGAGGCAGGAGAAGTGCTTGAACCCAGGAGGCGGAGGTTGCAGTGAGCCGAGATCGCACACTGCACTCCAGCCTGAGTGACAGAGCAAGACTCCAACTTGGAAAAAGAAAAAAAAAAAAAAAAAAGGTGGTTCACAAACTATTAGGTTGGCTATCACTTTTAATGGCAAAAACCACAATTATTTTTGTGCCAACCTAATACATGACTCTGAATGCCCAGGTGCCCTGATTAAATGTGAAGACAACATAAAGGTAATTCTTGTGCAATCTACACATTTAAAAACACTTAAACAAGAAAGAACAAAACGCAGGCATTGGGAAAGGAGGTGGGTCTTATGTACTGTAGTGTTTTATACAATATTATCCACTGATACATTTTGTGTTCAATTCCAATGTTAAAATTTGGACATTTACAAAGATGCTTCTATGTAAAATTGCAATTAGATGTAGAATGTAGCAAGAGAAGTTTTTAAACCCCATGAATCCAGCCTATGAAAGCAAAGAATCTAAAACACAGCCATTAAGAAGATGAGTGTCCTAATTTGACCAAAAACACTTTAATGGCTTCACCTACCACTGATCATAAAACGTGAGCATTAAGAATCAGAATATAACAATCAGCCTCATCAGGTCCCTGGAATTTATTGTAGCCATTTTTCTAAATCCATCAGGCAAAATTCTGAGAATAGTTTGCTTAAATCTTCCAGATAAAAATGATTTTAGAACACATGATAAACATGCAATTTTAATCAAATACTTAAAACAGGACAAATGGGACTTTTGTAGATATTATGAACTGAAATGACCTTGGGCAATTTTCCTCAACTGTGCATGACTGGCAGAGTGTAAGGTTTTCAAACATCACAATTAGAAAAAAAAAAAAAAGATATTTCAAACTAGAGAGCTCAAAACAAAAAAGTTGATAAGCAGAGAGTGAGGGAAGCAGACCCATGTGAAGAGATTAATAGAGGAGTAGCATGAAACAGGGTCAAGAAATCAAAATACAGGCGCATACAGACACCTGAGTATTCAACGCCCAGGTAGACCATGAACACTATGTGGAACGTAAGTGGTTATTCTCTAATTTTGAAAAGACAACAACTTGTTGGCTGTAGTGTTTATTGTAATTGACTACATAATTATTCTCTGGCACACGACACACAGATGAAAATTCCTCTTTTTCTAGATGCGCACAGGTATGGCACACCCTAACACAGAGGTGCTGCTCGTTATTTTTGTTAACTCTTAATTCGAAAAATCGCATTAAAGTTGAGATAATGTGCTGGAACATAGGGGAAGAAAGAAATCAAGTCACCCAAGGAGACATCATGTGAGCCTGACAATGGAGGAAGTAAATGTCAAATGCCATGATTATAGACAGCTATAAATGTGGACCTCTGCACCCAGACTTCTATGTCACAGTGTGTAAGGAGTCAGTAAGTCTTCATCACACACACACACACACACACAAATATATATATATATGGAAAACGCCATTAATAACATAGTACCTTATGAAAAGAAAAGAAACTGTTTTATTTATCATCTGGGAAATTTAGATTGTAGAGGTAAAAAGATTTTGTCTCATCTGTAAACTGTTGGCAGGTTTGACACATATCTTAAATGCTATTTCTATTATTTCCACTTGTTACATCCTGCAGTCTCTTCAAAGCATAAAGGAGTGCATGTCTGGTGACAAGGGAAGTGACAAAATACCTTTAGGGGAAGTAAAATGTTCTCTCTCTCTCTCTCTCAGGGGCTCACAAATTATATTAGCATTTTACTGGTGCAGAGAAACTCTGCAGTGATGAACTCTCATCAAGTTTATTTAATACATGGTTTCCAAAATTTCTCTGGTCACAGGACTATTTTGGTCTACGTACCACCCACCAACAACCTGGACCAGTATCCTCATTCATGGGCAGATGGTAAGTAATGTATTCAAGGTCATAAGCCAGGAAATGACATAGCCTCTGCATTACACATGTGCAGGAATCATGCATCTCAGTGAATTACAGACTCCACCCCAAACAGTACAGCCCTGTTTACATCCTAGGAGAAACCAGAGGAGACAAGTTTCAGGACTTTGGATTTGGCATTGATTTTTTGATAGGAGACCACAGTCACAGGTAACAAAAGCAAAAATATACAAATGTGACTACATCAAACATGAAAAAGAAAACAATGGAGTGAAAAGTCTACATTCTGCTGCTAAGTGAAATAAGCCAGTATCAAAAAAAAGACAAATATTGTATGATTCCACTCATATAAACTATCTCTAGTAGTCGAAATCATAGAAAAAAAAAAGGAAATGTGGTTGCCTAGGGCTAGGAGTAGCAAACAGACAGAATTAGTGTTTAATGAGTGCAGAGTTTTGCAAGATGTGAACATTGTAGAGATTGGCTACAAAACAATGTGCATATACTTAATACCACTGAACTGTACGCTTAACAATAGTTAACATGATGTCATGTTATTTATATTTTTATCACAATAGAAAGGACTGAGGAGCCCGCTGAGTCTAGAGCTAGAAATATAGCACAAGTTGAACAAGGCACCTGTGAGATATAGCACGGTTTCTTTTCAAATAGCATGCTCAGCTTCTTATTCTCTAATTCCAAGTACCCCCCACTTTCTTCTTTCTGGTGTCACTACATGCCCAGACATGCCACAGCCCCAGCTCACATTCCTTTCCTGATGTGAGAATGGGCTGGCTCTCTAGTCCTCTGTGGATGACCCCTTCCTCCTCTCCCCTCTCTCCCATCACACGCCCACCTCATCTAAGAAAGTTTAAATGTTTAGCCAACTGAGTCTAAATTGTGCGGCCTGACCCCAGCCAATGGGGAAAGGACACAAGTGCAGGAGTCGCGTTAGGCATAAAAGCTTCTACTCTCCTTTGCGGCGCTGCTGTGGCAGCCAGCCCTGCTAGAAGCACCCTTCTGCGCAAAAGTAAATTTGCTTTGCTGAGAAATCCTGTTTGAGTGCTCATTTTTCTTTACAACTCCGAGTTTTATTTCTTTTTATTGTATTTTATTTTTTTTTGAGACGGAGTCTCGCTCTGTGGCCCAGGCTGGAGTGCAGTGGTGTGATCTTGGCTCACTGCAAGCTCCGCCTCCCGGGTTCACACCATTCTCCCGCCTCAGCCTCCCGAGTAGCTGGGACTACAGGCGCCTACCACCATACCTGGCTAATTGTTTTGTATTTTTAGTAGAGACGGGGTTTCACTGTGTTAGCCAGGATGGTCTCGATCTCCTGACCTTGTCATCCGCCCGCCTCGGCCTCCCAAAGTGCTGGGATTACAGGCGTGAGCCACCGTGCCCGGCCCGAGCTTTATTTCTAACAGCACCTCTAATGTGTGCTTTACCCTCCCATAGCACAGAATATACTGCATTTTAAGTCTTTTGTTTACAGCTCTCTCATTCTGTAGCATGAGCTCCTAAAGATTGATCTTGAATGGCCATTGTGAATTTAATTTTTAATTAATCCATGGATCATGCACAACTGTAGGAAATACAAAGCAGTTCATAAATATGTGAAGATCAAAAATTGTTCACACTTTAAAATAGTGAACTGTGTAAGTTTGTATTTAAAATGGACTATTGAAAACAAGATATGGTCACAGAATCTACCCCTGATTTCTTTAAAGCATTTTCCCACTGATTGGACATTATTACCTAATAATTACATCACATGAAAAGAAACGAGTCAACACACTTGGGTGATGAACTAGTTGCCACATGATTTAGAAATGCCATAATAAAGCGGGCACACAATGTTGAACCACTGAAGGATTTTTAGCCGGATATAATTAATGATCTGCTCAAAGTGACATTTTGGAATAAATCTGAGCATGGTGTTGTGTTGAAAAAAGTCAAGGACAGAAAGATCACTTGAAATTTATGATTATAGTTCATGAGAATGACAAGATTTGGGGAAACAGATATTTTAAAATGAGAAATAAACAAGTGCCCCAATCAGATAGTGTTAAAAAGGCTTGAATGCCAATTATAGATCCTTTATAAAGTATCGCATGACTTCCTGGTGAACTGTGATAGAAGCACTGGGAAAGAAAGCTTCTACTTCATTTTTACTTATTCAACAGGAAGTAAAGAATAGACAACCTGGTGACAGAAAGTGGGGGGACTCCAAGCAGCCCAGCCTGATTTCCACTTCAAATACTATTTCCCTTTTTAACACTCAAAACTTTACTCACCACCCATCTCAATCCCACTGACATGTCTAAAGTCCACTCCCCTGTGTCTAGAGCCTTGATCAAAAGTATGACAGGACTGAGGTTTTCATAAATGATGAGTTGGTGGTTGGCTAAGTCACAGAGCCACTAGTCATTACTTATTCCATGTCTAGACTCTTTATTCCCTAGTTACTTACCATGAAACATTTGCAAGACCTACTGTAGAACAGAGAATTCTTTCAAGTTTTAACATCCAAGACATAAATTTGGTAGAAAAACATCATGAATTCTAAAGTGAGTAAGAATATCCTGAAACCAAAGGAATTATTTAAAAAAATAGAATAATCATAATTTTCAAGTGAGCACAACTTGTCAATGAGACAATATACTTCTATATCTAGCTCTCTATTGAAATACATGCTTTGTAGTATCATCCTTTAGATTTATCCATTATTTGGGAATAGAGGATATAAGTGTGCTCAGATAGTGCCAGTTTAATACTTGTTAAATAGTTTGCATCCTGTGTCTCTATATTTGGGTTCAGAAACCCACTGTGACTCAACAGTTTTCCCTTTCTGTAGCATGCTTCTGTTTCCAAAGGCTAGACTTACCTAAATGATATTATATTTAATGAAAGTAAACTCACTCAAAAACTAAAGGATCTACAAAATCCTGAGAATTCCCTTATGCAGTAAATCGAGCTCCTTGCCTGTCTCAGAACCATGTAAAATCAATGACTTCCAATTATTCTTAGAATAAATCCTGGGCTACAACGTACTGCGCACTGTGGCTCTTGCCCCCTTTTTCAACCTTCTTTCCTTTTCTTCTTTGTCTTCCTTTTCTGACTGCTCACAGCCCTTCCTTGTTCTACATTTTTGTTTGTTTTGTTTCACAAATGTGCTGGGTTCTTTTCCACCTGGGGTCTCTGTATTGATATTTTGCTTTGGCTACAGCGTTTTTTTCCTAAGTGTTTTTATGGCTGACTAATGCTCATTTTTTTTCTAGGGATACTTTTAATCTGAGGCATTGCTGTCATCTGCATCTCAGAACCCCGCCAATTTGCTTCAAGGTGCTTATCATAACCTATAACCAGATTTAGGTGTTTTCTTTCTAATTGTGCCCCCACCTCAAGAATTTAAATTTGAAATTAGCAGAGACCACATTGATCTTGTTGTCTGGTTGTGACTCTACTTACAGAGTCAAGAGGGCAGGGCGAGACATGTGAGTGGAGTGTGTATAATTGGTGGTGCACGTAGGGAACCTACAGGACACTTAAGGGGGGCAGAGAAGGGGAATGGAGAAAGAATCACCCTCAGGGGAGGTGGGAGGAAGGCCCACATGCACTCTGTGAAGGTCATTCCTAAAGAAAAACAAACCAAACATCGTCTCCCATGAGGCACAAGGGCAGTTGAACCCAATGGCAATTGTCAGTTTCCATTGAAACCCTTTCCCACATGGGCAACATTCTAAAACAACAGTGGAGTGAGAAGCGGCAATATTTATCTCATGATTGATGATTTTCTGAAGCAATAAGCAGGAGGTCAGCTTGGAAGTACGTGACGTTACTGATAGGACCTACCACTGAAATAACTGAGGTAATCCTAAGTGGCTGTCCCAAGAAGTGATTGTAGGATAAGTCCACCCCTACCCCTGCCTTGTCAAATACATTAGAACTTGAAACTCCAAAGACTTGTGGAGGACAACTTGATTTCAATCACTTTATTTAGGAAGGAAGTCAACTGAAGCACCATGTGATTACGTAATTTATTTGGCACCTGTCCCTTACACTGAGTAATTGTTAAAACGCCAAAATATCACCAGTAGGAGTAAAATTTTAATCTGTTATTAGTTTTTTGTGTTACACTCAACACACAAATAAATATTGAATGCCTAAAGTAATATTGTAGAAGTGACTTCACATTCCCAGACGAGGCTCTGGAATTCTCTGTGATGTAAGACAGAAGCCAGAATTTACATTGTTTTAGATATTTCCATGGTCCTTGGTGCACTTAGAACAGTAGGGATGAGAGAGACATGAATAATCTTTGATTGATATTAATGAAAGCAATTTTAATAGGACGCAGGAATGCATTGTTTGTGGCCAAACTGTGAAGTTGAAGGTGGGTCTTAGGAAAATTTTTTGAAATGAATATGTGGAAAAAGATCTTATGGAGTAATTAATGTAGAAATAAATGCAGTAAGTGTCTTAACATGAGGCAATGAAGATTAGTTATTACACTATTGGATGAATGCTGGTTTATATGGTCCTTCCTCTGTTGGAGGTAGTAAGCTCTCGTCTCAGTGCACAGAATGAAATCTCTGTAAACACACTCGCTATATTGGAGTTCTGCTTTCTCTATTTATCATGTTTCCTGTGATGTTACTCATGTTCACCAAAATTCCAATTAAGAACTCTCCTCAGTAGTGTTAATGTAATATTAAAGTGCCATTAAAGCATGTATTAATAATTTGAATGTGCTTATAAGGATTATTGTAATTATAGGGGCTAATCCAAGTTATCTGTATTCAATTATGGCAACGTCCTGCCAAAAATGTTGAGTATGTTTCATTTCAAAGGACATAAGGCATTTTCCAGAATTTTAATCCTCATTTAGATACTTCCTTCTAAGTACCTGTTTTGAGATGAGGAAATGAAATGGAGCTCATACATCAGTGAAAACAAGAATTAAGGAAGTATTTTAATGGCACATTCATAAGAAACGTGACTTCACAGTAATATTCTATTGACCAGTGTAATCATCAGCACAGCGAACTGCAGAAATTAATTCAGTTAGTTATATTATGTTCCCAAAATTATATCAGAAATTGAGACAGAGTCCAGGCACAGTGGCTCAAGCCTGTAATCCCAGCACTTTGGGAGGCTGAGGTGCAAAGATGGCTTAAGCTCAGGAGTTGGAGACTAGCCTGGGCAACATGGTGAAAGCCTGTATCTATTAAGAATACAAAAAATTAGCTGGGTGTGGTGGCATTTGCCTTCAGTCCCAGCTACTCCAAAGGCTGAGGTGGGAGGATTGCTTGAACCCAAGAGGTTGAGACTGAAGTGAGCTGAGATCATGCCACTGCACTCCAGCCTGGGCCAGAGTGAGATTCTGTCTCAAAAAACAAACAATAAACAAACTATAAAAATTGAGACATAAAGATCACTTCTATATTTTCTAGAAAAATTTTTAAAAGACTATATTCTCACAAACCTTTTAGAATATAGAACTAAGAGCTTATCTCTCTTAATTACTGTTTTCTTTTCAAAAAGATAATTACGTAAGTAAATACCATTTCCTTTTATGATTTTATTGTCAGAACATTTAAAGCTAAATGTAAAGCCTAATAATAGCTATCTTAAAAATCTAGGTGGCTGATATATTTATAGCTTTCTCTTTGGTTGGGCTGCCTTTAAAATTTTTTCCATTAAATTTTTTTTTATTGTACACACTTTTTTTATGTTGCATCAAACACTTAAAGAGAAGGCAGTTTATCACTTTAAAAAATCTAGATATTCTTATTTTTTACATGTTTGACTATGTATTTTTTGAGTGAGATCTTATTTGTTCATGACATATTTTTTCACTATATAGCTAACTACCAATTATATAAATACATGCAAGAATGACTTAATCAGGTATAAGTTTTGAACTCAGTGCCTTTAAAATAGTAGTACTATATCACAAAATTATCTACATATGTTAATAATTGCAAAATATAAAAGTGTGAATCAAATCAGGTAAAACAGTAAAATATTTATGTTTAGTTTATAACGATAAAATCATTTGACTAAAGAAAAGTAATACTTTGAACATTCAACTATACTAAAAATGTAGAAACAATGTCTCCATTTTACTCCCACCTGGTAAAGAAATAGCGTCAATTCAAATAATGAAAGAGTTGTTATATTTGTTTTCTTCCAATTACCTCTTTTTTCCTCATAACCACAAATCACTGATTCAACCTCCTACGTTATTCAGAATATATTGTAAATGTGATACTGCAATTTTTCTATCAGGATTTTCTACTTCCACTTCCTTCTTTCCTTTCTTTCATCCCTCCCTTCCCTCCCTCCCTTCCTTCTTTCCTTCCTTCTTTTCCCTTCCTTCCTGCCTGCCTGCCTGCCTGCCTGCCTTTTTTCCTTCCTTCCTTCCTTCCTTCTTCCCTCCCTCCCTCTCTCCCTCCCTGCCTTCCTTCCTTCCTTCCTTTTTGTCCTCCCTCCCTCCCTCCCTTCCTGAGGTTGCCTTTGCCATGGGTTTCATGTTTGAGGCCCCGTTCCCTCTGCATAGGCTTCTGTATCTACGAGCAGAGCTTCAGACGTGGGAACATGGCTTCCACACTGGACCATGTCTACTGCTGGGCTACTATGTAAGAAAGAGTAACTTAAATTTGCTTTGCAGAATATATTAGTATTATATCTTATGGATTCTAAATATATTTTGTTAACTTCACTGGGTTTCCTAGTAGTGAATGTGAATTAGGAGAAAAAGTAACCTTTTAAGAAAGGCAGTGAAATAAAAACCTTACATAGAATTACTTTGGAGCTATTTTGACTCAGTGGCATACATTAACACTAAAGAAGCTAGGATAACTGCAACAGTCTTTTGCTTGAGTTCAAACATACCAATTAGGTTTAGGATATTAATTTTGGATAGATGTCATTAGATGAGGTATTGAATGTTTCACTGTCTTGTTAGAAGTAAGCTAAATTAGAAATAACTTGGAAAGACAGAAATACGTATAAGCTGAATCGTAATAATAGTCAAATTTAGTGAAGAAGGCCTGAAAGTGAAAAATATGATTATTAAACAAGTATTATTATATATTAAAATCAAAATACTTTCTATTGTAAGCCATCTCTAAATGGAAAGCAATTCTTAATTAGAGGGAACCATTCTGCTAATAATTAATCTTTAATGAGAATATACATTAAATTTAATTCTGTAATTTATCTGTGAACATCTCTGAATGTTTTCACAGTTATGATGAAATCCATCACTATATTAAAGTTATGTGGGGGACAGATAGATAGATCTCATTAAAAAGTGTGCATTCAAAAAAAACTTCTCCACAGTTAACCTAAAAAATATTTTAGTATTGGTATAACTATCTTTGAACTAGGGCAATTTTCAAACCCCTAAGACCCTTAAAATCTCTAGAGTAATTTTAAAACCTACTAGAGAAATTTTCAGATCCTTACATTGTAAAACCCCGTGAACTAGAACAATGCAAAAATCCCATCCACTTGGGATGTAGAGATCTGCAAAAAAGAACATCCCTCCCACTTTAACAACGTAAAAATACTGAAGTATAAAATGATAGCTTTTCTTGAACCCATCAGGGAGCTGCGTGGCAGGTACCCTGGTGACCTCATTTCCTTTTCTTTCTTTCTTTTTCTTTTTCTTTCTTTTTTTTTTTCTTGAGACAGGGTCTTGCTCTGTCTCCCAGGCTAAAGTGCAGTGGTGCAATCATGGCTGTCTGTAGCCTCGGCCTCCTGGGCTCAACGGATCATCCCACCTCAGCCTCCTGTGTAGGTGGGACTACAGGTGAGGCCACCATGCCTGGCTAATTTTTGCAGTTTTTATAGAGATGAGGTTTTGCCATGTTGCCCAGGCTGGTCTTGAGCTTCTGGGCTCAAGCGATCCACTCACCACAGCCTCCCAAAGTGCTTGGATTATAAGCATGAGCAACCATGCCCAGCTTGGTGACCTCATTTCTAAAGGACAAACTCCCCCAGAAGAGACGAGAGCCGCATGCTACGTGTGAAGCAAAACAATGGGGAAAGGCGACCAGAAAAGAATCATCAGCTTAATAAACACCAACTGTCGCAAGTGGAGCCTGGGCCTCGTGTGACTCTGGATGCAGACGCATGGGGAGTGTGCCCTTCCACCCACAGGCCTCTATCAGGGGGCTATAAGAAAGCCTAGGGGCACAGCTGGAGGCCAGAAAGAGCTCTCCCAGCCCCCAGTGCAGAGGCTCTGTGACGAGAAGGGCGTGAAACACCATGCATGTCCCTGAAGCTTTGCTCTTAGGAAACACAAATCTTAAACCACTGCAGGGGTGCAGCAAAACCTGTCATTTCAGGATCTCATATTATACATAAAGTGACATAAGATTATTTGAAGGTAAGCTCTGCTCTATAAAAGGTGTGTTTCAATCTCTAGGAGACCATTACAATATTAAAAATTCTTCCCTAATAAGCCCATAGTAGGGATAACTGGGGCAATAGAAATACTTAATTACACCAAAATCTGTCAGAGAATGTGGGAAGAAATAATAAAAAAACAGATGGGGTAAATAGAAACACTCCAGTCTCGGGGCCCGTGTGTTCAATCTTGTTGTTCCTCCCACCAGCTTCCACCAGATCAATACTGAGTTCAATAACAGTCACTGCCACCTTGTTGGCCAGCAGTAAGATCCATCCTGTACACCTTGAGGTCAGGCTTTGTAATTTCCAGGATAAATCAATATTATCACCGTTCACACAGTTGCACTCTAAGATATCTGGATATGTATTTTGTCTTGGTTTCATTGGTTTTCTTTAGAAAAGAACGCAGAACAAGAGTGACACTTGTGTTAATTCTCACATGTCCAGTTAAGTTAAATAACGTGAACGAAGACTAAATGGCTATAGAATATATTAATAATTCAAAGATGCTAATCTTTTTGAGCTTTTACTTGGATTCTGTAAGATTACAAAGAATCTAGGTCATATACATTAAACCAGAGGATTCTGTAAGATCCCTGAGACTGTAGATCATATACATTAAACCAGACTTTCTTGGAACTGCTTTTGCTACCATTACTATTTTACAGCCCATCTTTCAAATATAAGTGTTTGGTTTTTGTTTGAGAAATTTCCACCAGTGTCCATTTGGATGTACTATGGTTAAGGGGGCCTTGTTTTCATTTCTATATGAGAAAAGAACTCCTGAGATAGAAGTAGATGTAGATAAGCCTTAATGGCCCAGGTTTTAGAACCAGGCATACTTGATCCTCAGTATGGACTCACAAGCTCCTTGATTCTCCAGACATTTTTCAGAGAGCACTGACCTTTGGTGTCATTGTTTGTAAAACAGCCATCTATACGTCACCTTCCTGGTAGGGTAGTCTGGATACCTCGCAAGGTGCTCAGTAAATGGTATTCGTAATAAAATGCACTTTTCATGCCTGCCTCTGCATGCCATCTGTTATTAACAGTGTGGCTAGGACCCAGGAAGGCTAAAAATGCTCTATGCTCTGTTTCTTCAGTTGGAAGAAATGAGCAGACTTCAAAAATATAGGGCTGTTTTAAGGACAAATAAGTAACAAGCGGTAACAAGTTTAGAGCAAGACCTGGCATAGAGTAAGCGTCTACTTTTTTTTTCCATTTTTATTTCATGGACATAAAATAAAAATCTGAATTTAGAGATTTGTAGATTGGCAGTCCATATCTTAAAATAAATGCAAAAATATGTCAACAAATTTAAGATATCAGAAAATCTTTTGGCGATTTACATCAACAGTCCTGATACCATTTGACGCTAATTGTAGTAAGGTTAATTCTACAAATACTTTCTATAATCTATATTTCTTTTTTTTTTTTTTTTTGAGACGGAGTCTCACTCTGTCACCCAGGCTGGAGTGCAGTGGCGCGATCTTGGCTCACTGCAAGCTCTGCCTCCCGGGTTCACGCCATTCTCCTGCCTCAGCCTCCTGAGCAGCTGGGACTACAGGCCCGCCACCACGCCTGGCTAATTCTTTGTATTTTTAGTAGATACGGGGTTTCAACGTGTTAGCCAGGACTGTCTCGATCTCCTGACCTCGTGATCTGCCCGCCTTGGCCTCCCAAAGTGCTGGGATTACAGGCGTGAGCCACCGCGCCCAGCCTATAATCTATATTTCAAATTCTGGCATGAAGAATAGGAACAGAGAAATGAGTTCCTCTTAATAACTGAATGGCATAAACTATCAGAATGGTGTTAGTATAAAAAACAACCACTTAAAAAAGAAAATAACAAACAAAAATGTGGCATTATGTTTAGCCCAATTAAAAAATACATTAAATAATTAAACAAAAGCTTGGATTCTCAAAGTTCATCTGAATGAGAAATATGTTAGTCTCTCTTTTTTAATGAATGATATTGTCTAGGAATAAAGAGAAATGTAGATAATTATATTGATGGGGCTGAAGCCCAGGTAAGTGCATATCTCACTGTATATAATAATAAGCATAGATGAATTATTTCACTAGCCCCTCTTTCCAAGACAAAGGAATAAAAACCCAGATGCTACAGGATAACTTTGAGAATGATAAGAGCATTCATCAATACTAACTCCCCCAAAACTATTAGTGAATTTTTAAATACTATCATAAACAAGGCTTATGTTTTTCTATCTACAGAGAGTCACAAAGTATATCAAAGTAGCAGATTTTCCAGACACATCCTACATAAGTAACATCCACAGTATCATTTTATACTGTCACTGAAGTAGTCCTCTTCATATAAATTGAAATAAACTTGCAGACAAATGCCCATAATAAGCAGGAAAATTTAACCAGAATGTGAAACAGCCCTGTGGTTTGTGCCTGGCTTAGAATATTTATCATCAGCTGGCAATCTGGCCTTTCAAAAATATGCATGCATTTACATCGTAGCAAACTGTTTATCTCAATTCAAAAGATCACTTATTAAAGCTTATCCATGTATTTGCTTATTTGCAACTGCTTATTAAAGGAGATGAATATCAACGTTAAACATTTTTAGTGCTTGAAAACAGGTCCTAAAATAAACCTTACTCTCATTGGAAATTCTTATTTCGCTTTTACAAGGTTTACCTGCATAATCAAACGCCAAAAAAGATCTGTGAATCTGACCTTTGTCATTCCATTTATCAGACTATTAACTCTGTCTCACATCCATCTTTAAAAGGTTAGAGTCGACTGTGCGATGCCTTCCTCCAATTAAAATGAATAACACACAAATGCAGGCTCCGGAGCAACAGCTCTCTACTCGTTCTTATTTTAACTGCCTTTGAGACTAGAAACAGAAAAGGCTTATGACCATAATCTAGGCAGAAGTCAGGATTGTCCACCTTCTGGGGAATGCTAATATGAGTATTTTTTAATTACTCATAAAAAACTAGTAATATTACAAGTGGTTCATTTTTGTGCTTTTTAATACAAACAACCTGAAATTATAGCAGTTATATCTAATTACTTGAGATTTGAACTTATACATTTACCCATTAATTTGTCTCTCATAATGTATATTTCTTTTGTTTGTTTGTTTGTTTTTGAAACGGCATCTCGCTCTGTCACCCGGGCTGGTGTGCAGTGGTGCAATCTTGGCTCATGGCAACCTCTGCCTCCCAGGTGATTCTCCTGCCTCAGCCTCTTAGGTAGCTGAGATTACAGGCGCCCGTCACCATGCCCAGCTAATTTTTTTTTGTATTATTATTATTTTTTAGTAGAGACGGGGTTTCTCCGTGTTGGACAGCCTGGTCTTGAACACCTGATGTCTGGTGATCCGCCCACCTCTTCCTCCCAACGTGCTGGGATTATAGGCATGAGTCACCGCAACTGGCTTATGTATTTCGTAGAGCCAGATTTCATAACACTAAATTTCATGCAAGTCTTTCACAGTTTTAGAAAAATAATATTTCACTGTTTAATAAGAGCATGATTTATTTTTTCTTTAAAAAAATGACTCAGTATAACAGTGGAAGCTGTATACAGAAAGAGTTGACCTTACTTTTGTATTCCAGGTGGAAACCAGCAGCTGCCACACTAATGTCAGACTGGAAATGCAGGTAGAGTTGGTTGGAAGTACTGTTCAGCAGTGCCGGTACTGTGGTGCCTGTAAGAAACAATGCAGATAGAATTGTAACACTACAAATACATTCACTTTTCTAAATATAAAACATATGAGAATACTTATTAGGCTTACAAATCCCTACAGTTTGTCTGATTACCAGATATTTAATCTGAGTGTTGGTTTTATTATGTATTCAGCCATTCTATTTTTCTAGGTACAATAAAAAGTTACCCATTGTCTGCTCTGACCTGCTCAAGTCGATGTGACACCTTTCTCTTGTACAAAAACTCCTATTGTAGCATGAGGTTTTTTTGCATTGTTTTATCCATGTAATCTTCTGCTTCTTAAATTTATTTTTTTACTTGACATGAACAGAGAGGAAAGAAAAGTTCAACAGCCAAGAGTAATGAGGGTTGAGGGAGCAGTCGGACCCTGTGGATAGTGATCTGACATATCCTTCAGAAGACGTTGCTTTTGACCCTGTATATATGCTCTTCCTGATCCCTATGTGACTCATGCTTAGTAATGTTCCCCCTGGATCTGTTGATGATTTCAACTAAAGATGCATGAAAAGGAATATATAGGGCTATTTTGACATAGTGATTTCTTTACTTAAAATGTTCTAGCCTACATCACAGTAACTAACCGATTGGAAAGGGCAATACAGATACCGAGGACCAGGGTAAGAAAGAAGTAATGATGCTGGCAGGTGCTGAGGAAAAGAAAATCGTTCATCACTCAGAAGTTTGAGACATTTTGGTGGAATGAATCATAATATGGAAAAATAATAGACAAGTTTAAGTCACTTTTTTCCTGATGTATGTTCAATACTCTAGTAAAAACATTCTCTAAATTGGAAGTGTAGACATACTCGATGTCAAAGAACTATCCATTGTGTAAAAATAACCACAGTGTAGATAAATTATTCAAGTACTGCTGTATAAAGGGAGAAATGATAATTTAAATAACAAAGCAAAGAAATAAGTTGATAATTATTCCAAACAGATGAACATTATTGAAAAGATAAGATTGTCTATCATCCTTAGCTCACCACTTAAACTATCCAATATCCCCCAACAGATTTTATTTTTTTAGATGGAGTCTCGCTCTGTCACCCAGGCTGGAGTGCAGTGGCACAATCTTGGGATTCTCCTGCCTCAGCTTCCCAAGTAGCTGAGATTACAGGCATGCTCCACCATGTCCTGCTAAGTTTTGTATTTTTAGTAGAGACGGGATTTCACCATGTTGGCCAGGCTGGTCTCGAACTCCTGACCTCAAGTGATCTGCTTGCCTCGGCCTCCCAAAGTCCTGGGATTACAGGTGTGAGCCACTGCACCCGGCCCCCAAGAGATTTGATCAGACCAATAACCCCAGGCAAGGACTCTGGCTGTCTTTTTATAAGAAGCTGTGTGTGTGTGTGTGTGTGTGTGTGTGTGTGTGTGTGTGTGTGTGTGTGTGTGTATTGTTAGTAGAGAAGGGGGACTCTGGCTGTCTATAAGAAGCTGTGTGTGTGTGTGTGTGTATGTGTGTGTATTGTTAGTAGAGAAGGACTCTGGCTGTCTCTTTATAAGAAGCTCTGTGTGTGTGTGTGTGTGTATTGTTAGAGAAGTGGTTTCACCGTGTTAGCCAGGATGGTCTCGGGGGACTCTGGCTGTCTCTTTATAAGAAGGTGTGTGTGTGTGTGTGTGTGTGTGTGTGTGTGTGTGTGTGTGTGTGTGTGTGTGTATTGTTAGTAGAGAAGGGGTTGTTAGTAGAGAAGGGGTTGTTAGTAGAGAAGGGGTTTCACCGTGTTAGTTAGGATGGTCTCGATCAACTGACCTCGTGATCCGCCCGCCTCAGCCTCCCAAAGTGCTGGCTTTACAGGCATGAGCCACCGCACCCGGCCTAGAAGAGGCTTTTTAAACATGAAGTGTGTCGAACTAAACGCCTAATCTATCTATCCCTGAAACATCGAGTAGGTCTCTAACGCCTAATCTATCTATCCCTGAAACATCGAGTAGGTCTCTAACGCCTAATCTATCTATCCCTGAAATATCGAGTAGGTCTCTAACGTTTCTTAACGATACCATCGGCATCCATCCACGTCACAAACTGAACGCCTAATCTATCTATCCCTGAAACATCGAGTAGGTCTCTAACGCCTAATCTATCTATCCCTGAAATATCGAGTAGGTCTCTAATGTTTCTTAACGATACCATCGGCACCCACCGACGTCACGAACTGAACGCCTAATCTATCTATCCCTGAAACATCGAGTAGGTCTCTAACGCCTAATCTATCTATCCCTGAAATATCGAGTAGGTCTCTAACGTTTCTTAAAGATACCATCGGCATCCATCCACGTCACAAACTGAACGCCTAATCTATCTATCCCTGAAACATCGAGTAGGTCTCTAACGCCTAATCTATCTATCCCTGAAATATCGAGTAGGTCTCTAATGTTTCTTAACGATACCATCGGCATCCACCGACGTCACGAACTGAACGCCTAATCTATCCATCCCTGAAACATCGAGTAGGTCTCTACTGTTTCTTAATACCATTGGCATCCATCCACATCATCACATTCAAAGCTTCCTCTTTCTCCATGACCCCAGACTGCCCTCCAATCAGTCATCACGCCTTAACTGGCGTGCATTCTAAATATTTTCCCAAATTATTTCACTTAATTCATATTATTTTCACAACAATCACCCCAGTGCAGGCAGCCTTATGTTAACCAGAATTAGTGCAATAATCTTCCAACTTGTTTTTTTGAGCCTGATCTTTTCCTAATTCAATGCATTCTCCATTCAGCAGTCAGAAAACACTTTACAAATGTATATATGATGAGACATGTTAAAATTCTCATAGATTCCTGATCATCTTAGGACCAAATTTCACACTCCTTGATTTGGCCCAAAGACCCTGCATGATCTGACTGCTGCTTGCTTTTCTAGCTTCTTATCATTACTTGTTTTTCAGAATCATTTTTTCTTGCTTCAAGAGGCTCTGTATCATAGGCCTGGGATGTTCGTTCCTTCTCCTTTGATTCACTTTGACTTTCCTATTTCTATTCATTCAAATATAACCACTTATTTCCCAAACTAAGCCACTCACTCAATTCAATAAACATGAGTTTATCAGCCAGATAAACTACTAACTCATTTTCCAAACATACTAGTTATTCTCTGACTTCGTGCAAAGCAGAACCTTCCCTGATTAGGACACAGCCTCAAAAACTTGAACCTCATCAAATCCTTAAAGGCAATGAGCAGACCAACGGTGCCATGCAAAATATGACTGTGACAGCTTTAATCTGTCTTCAGTTCTGCTCTTATCACATTCATCTCCTGCCTGGGCTAATGAAATAGCCATCAACTGAGCTTCAGAATGGATATTTGCCTTCTTCTTACGCATTTGTTCTGCACACAAAATAACCTGCTTACAATTAAATAATGCTTGCACATTTTATTTCTATACATGGGCATACGACGTGTCTTTTAATAAAATTTTAGGTCAACTTCCTGATCTATACTGTGCTTTCAGGACTCATCCTATGGAGATGGGGAAATTTAATCTTTACCATGGCTGGGAATTCCTTTCCTGCCTCAGGATAGCCAATAGTCTCAGACTTTTGAGTCCTTGACTCCTTACTTCACATAAGCTCATTCTCCAACCTTATCCGGACCCTTAAATTTTAGCAGTTTCATGTTTTTGTGCACACCTTTGATAGAATGCTCTTTGACAAGTCCCTGCTCCAAAATCTAGCCTAAGTGCATCAGGCTACCACTTTGTTTTCAAGGTCCTGTCACATCCCTGTTTTGTCCTGGTTTGTCTCCTTTATAATATAGTCTTAATCATATGTATAAGTCCATTGCTTTCTCAAGTTCCGTGAGGTACTCTAGGGAACTATCAAGAACTGAAGGGACCATGGACCCCCTAAATTTATAGCCAGTTGGTCAGAGTGCAGGTGGCCTGGGAGGCCCCGAGGGCTTGCAGCTGACGTCAGAGGGGAGTCCTGTGGAGAAGCATGAAGTGCACGAACTCCGTGCTAACTCCAGGAAATTAGCGTCAGAATTGCATTGCAGTGGTATTTATGTCAAACATATTTTTTCAAATTTTCTCCTGGCTAACTCCAAAAACTGAAATTAATAAAAAGGAGATTGTTGTTATTTTTCATGCATACAGAGGCAATGTGGTCACTTCTTTTTTTCACTATTATTAGTAAGGCATTTCCCTGCTAACTTTGGCTAATCCATCATGCAGCTGTCTTAATTTTGCCGTCTCCTGCTTTCTGCTGGTAATGCCTGCATTTGTGTGTAAAATGTGTTCTGTCACAGATTTATGACTGAGAACATTAGGTTAAAAACAATTCAATATTTAATACTCTCTTTTGAAAAATTAACCTATTTCTAATATTAGGATATATGAAATTATTACACATCTGAAGCTAAGTTCACTTGTGATAGTTACTCGAGGGAAGGCTTAATATGAGGTTGCTGTACAGCAGTTGATAAATCCAAATATATGTGAATGATAAGATTTGATCCTCAGACAAAACGTGGCAAGACACATACTTTCTAAGCAGGTTTTACCAACTGAATTCATAAACTGTGAGGTAGGTGCTAGGAATTGTGCATGACACTCAGAGATTAATATAGATTCTGAAGAAACTTAAATCTCTACAAACTAAAAGAACACTTTACTTAAAAATGAGCAACACAATTCAATATCTGAGTGTAGAGAAACAGACACAGACTGCATGGCTCCCGTGACTTGAAGGATTTCCTGTCTCTCTCTGATTTGTCTAGCTATATTTTACTAATCTGTTAAGATATTTTAATTTATTTTTCCCAGGTAGCTTTTTTTTCTCTTACATCTTAAAAAAAAAAAAAGTGTGACTTTTTTCCCTCCTGTAACACCCATCACCTACCTGTAATGCTGTCTATTTACCAAATATTATTTATATAATTACATTAAGTGTTGGCATCTGTGTAGATTTTAACTTGTGTTGTTGTTGTTGATGATGTTTTTAATGAGAGAGGCCTTATCTTGTATTCCTAACAACAAACACAGTGTCTGATATCTAGCAGGTACTTTAAGAAATCACATGCTAAACTAAACTATTGGAAGAGCTATGTGGTCAGGGGAAGAAAGAGGGATTTCCTGGTGGAGATGGGCCTTGAGTTCTAGCTTTTAAGGACAGTAATGGGCTATTTGAAATAAAAGTTCCTAAAAGTATAAATAGTACACAGGCAGACAAACATGGATTGTGAATGACAGATAACAATAAGATGATAGATTGGCACTTTATTCCCAACACCTTAAATGGCCATGCCCAAATAAAAATATGGTTTTATTTGCTGAGAACCAGAGATAAGATCTTTGAACCATTTGAAGTGATAAAATGGAAGTTGTATCAGACACTGTGAATGGCCTGTGCGCTATCTATTTTCTTTATGTTTTTTAACCTATTGAGTAAAAGTAGAACGGAAATATTTAGGGAAAAAATATCCACAGTTAAGAAAAAATATATATTCCAGCCTCCCTTTGCAGTAGAGATAAACAACTGACAGAATTCAGACAAATGGGATAGAAGGAGTCAGCTACTGCAAGCAAGAAGGGACTCATGGAAAACAGTACTTTTTCTGTCATCTTGGACAATTCTCTAGTAGCTAATCTTTGTTCTTCATTGGTAAAACAGAGATAGCAATAATCCCTTAGAACTTAGTTGGTGCTGTCATATTGGCTACTTTTGGTAATTTTAGTAGAGACAGGGTTTCGCCATGTTGGCCAGGCTGGTCTCGAACTACTGACCTCAGGTGATCCGCCCACCTCAGCCTCCCAATGTAATGCCGGGCTTACAGGCATGAGCCACTGCACCTGGCCATACTCAAGATAAAATTAAGCATTCATGTTAACAGAAGTTCATAACTGGCAAAGTAAAGGCTCAGGAAATGTGGGCAACTGTGAGGACAGTGATGACCAGGGAGATAATCGCAATACTGATCATCATCACTGCTCATGAAGTTTGAGTCCTAATGCTATTACAGTGTAATGCTATTACAAAGCAAAGTGAAAGAAAGCGGTGTCATGCATCTGGAGGCAGGATATCCTGTTAAACAAAAGCAAAATTGAGATTGAATGACGCTCGAGGGCAATGGGAAGGGAAGACTTGCAGGGCATTTGGAGAGCAGACTCGTCAAGGCGGGTGCATTCGTGAGAGTCGGAGGTGCAAGGAAGACTAAGAGAGGGTGGACTTGCAGTGGACTACAATTTCGTGCCTGGCTACATATGAGTAGGGTAGAATCTCAGGACTAGCTGAGCCCACATGCTCAGTGTAATTTTCCCAGATTGCTTAATGTCAGGCTGTGCATTTTAAGAGTTGAGAACCGTTTCCTAACCTCTGCCTCTTTGCTACCTCACATTACTATTCCTGGCTTCTGCTGCCAGCCTGAGACCTGCCGCATGTCAAAGCTCTGCTATCTGACACTTTTAGATTGGTCTCCTCCTCGTGGAGAACACAGCTTTGTTTTTACTCACCTGTTTCTTGATGGTCTTACTCTAAGACTTTCAGCACTAGAGCAACCATTATGGAGATAGAAGAATTGTGTAGGAAAATTTCTATGTGGAGTGTTTGCTGTTATTTATGTTGTTTTCTTGGTGTTTGCAGATTTTGAGTCACACAGGTGAGGAAATTGACTCCATCTTACCTGAGAAGCTTCCCAGTCTGGGTGCGGTCACATCCCCACCATCGTGGATCTCAAGGGAGTCCCAGTTCTGCTCCGTGGCAAAACTGATCACTTGGATCTACCAAACCATGACATTAAGTTAATATTTATTTTTGGCTTAACACAATTAGTCTAATTAGATGGGGTTTTGGGGTTTTTCATGATTAAGGTGTATATGTATATATATATACATATGTATATGTATATATATATACATATACACCTTAATAATGCCTCCAATGCCATATATATATACATATACACCTTAATAATGCCTCCAATGCCATAATATTATATATATATACCTTAATCATGAAAATCATCTACATGTCTATCTATCTATATATACATGGCAAAATTTAAAAAAAACAAAACAAACCATGAAAGAACAATTTATTTTTCTTTTTCTTTTCCTTTCTTTTTTTTTTTTTTTTTTTTGAGATGGAGTCTTCCTCTGTCACCCAGGCTTGAGTGCAATGGTGCAATCTTGGCTCACTGCAACCTCCGCCTCCCAGGTTCAAGCAATTCCCCTGCCTCAGCCTCCCTAGCAGCTAGGATTACAGGCGTATACTACCATGCCTGGCTAGTTTTTATATTTTTAGTAGAGACAGGGTTTCACCATGTTGGCCAGGCTAGTCTTGAACTCCTGACATCAAGTGATCTTCCTGTCTTGGCTTCCCAAAGTGCTGGGACTACATGCATGAGCCAATGCACACGGCTGAAAGAACAATTTCTACAAATGGTACTTTTGATAGTTTTTATTTTAAAAAATTGATTATATTTATTCAAAATATAGAAAAATGGTTAGAAATATTTTGTTGAAATACTAAGAAAAGGGAAACAGAGTATAGTCTATGTATTTAAAATAACCAGTATAAAAGGAAAAAAGAGAGAGGGAGAGAGAGAGAGATGGAAAGAAACATAGAACAAAAGAATGAAAGAAAGAAGCCCATGGACCCCAGCTGAGCCCTGTTGTAGACTGTGGACTTCAAGGACTCACCTGAATTCCCGAGCCCTCCGTAACTATGATCTTCCATATACAGTTCAAGTTGTTTCCGTATGGCTCAGGGTAGCCGGGGGACAGGATTGTACCTCTTCGTTGAGTGAAATTGCCACTGCAGGGTACTAAAAGACACAACCATATGTCATGAAATAAAGTGCTGTGGGACAGTGTTGATTTGGCATGCAGTTTTCTTTCACTGTGTGACCACACAGTAAGAGAAAATGTACATGAACAATGATACGTTAAACGGCACTTTTAGCCAAGGTAAAATTCAGTGTATTCTCTTTTAAATTAGCAAAATAATTATTACCTATTATGCTACTCAGTTATAGATCTTGAGTCTATAAATAAATCTATCCAAGTTCTCTAAGAAGGGATGATGTCCAATGATGGCATCTCCAAAGTGAATTCTGTTTAGAATAATTTACCTACTATAATTTAAGGACCTTGGCAGAGTTTTCTCTTCTCCATGCAGACATGCATCTCCAAATGATATTAATGGGATTTATGAGCAAATTCAAGAGAAGAGGCGCTTAAAATGTACAAATGATTCAAGTGCTAATCATGATTGCGCTGGAGCTTTCCACACAAAATGAAGCAGGTAAACTATAACTAACAAGGTCACTGTTATTCAGCCTGCATTTACCTATTAATTTTCAAAGATTCATCAGCACCAATTTATTAAAAGGACGTTACACAAGTAATATAGCAAATCAACATGATAATGGTTTTTTCCCAAAATGAGATTATGTTCCACACCCATAACTTTAGAGTTGATGGCCTACTTCATAAATATGGAGAAGGGAAACATGCTTTATCCTTGTTAAGATGATGAGTTGTTTTATGAAACACAATAATTTTTAGGGTTTGGCTACTAACTCAATTACTTCCCATGAAACAAACTGCCCTTTAAATGGGTCATGAGCCAGATGGATTTACGTAGCCTGGATAGAAACATGAGAAGTAACTCTTTGGCACCACCACAGAGTTCTGGCGGGCAGCCGCTTAGGGACACTGCTCACCCACACAGCTGGGGATCGTGTCGTTCCACTGTGCCAAGGCGTTGGGCACGGACTGGCAGTGGAGCGCCGTGGAACCCTGAAGCAGGTATCCCGGGTTGCACTCGAATCGGACGATGGAGCCGGCAGAAAACTCAGAACCAATTCTCCTTCCGTATCTGGGCTCGGGGACAGAGCTGCATTGGGTGTCACTGGTACGAGGAACAGCTAGAAGCAAAGTACAGAACACAGCCGTCTGTATCTCCATCAGCAAGCCAGGACGTTGCGTGGAACGTGGGTTTAAGATGGGACCAAGGAGAGCTGATGCAGACAGAGAATTTAATAACGACTCCAACAATCGCTATAGAGAATGATTTGAGGCGCTGGGACCACGCAGAGCTGGTGCAGATAGAGAAGTTAATAAAGCCTCCAACAATCGCTATAGAGAATGATTTGAGGAGCACGTTCCCAACTGTACTTCGCCCTCAGGACCATCTCAGTGTCCTCACTTCAGATGAGGAAAACGGCATAAAAAGACTCAGTGCCTTATGAGGACGGATTGATATTCAGGCGATTACATTTAATCATCCTGCTAGTGATAATGAGATGACTAACCATGCGTACTTGTCCTCACAGGCCTCTGAGTCTAATGAGAAAAGCTACCATATGAAGGATTTGTTATAATATGGCCATCGTGATGTAATAAAAATCTTAAACTACCATCAGATCCAGCAATCCCACTCGTGTATACTTATCTAAAGGAATTTAAATTGGGATCCCAGAGAAAAATCGGTACTCTCACATTCATTGTAGCATTCTTCAAAATAGTCTAGATGTGCAAACAACCTAAATGTCCATCATCAGATGAACAGATAAAGAAAACGTGGAGTAGATAAAAGAAGAAATTCTGCTATTTGTAATAACACGGATGAACCTTGAGGACATCGTGCTAAGTGAAATAAGCAAATAAGCAGCCACAGAAGAACGAATACCTTATGATTCTACTTCTATGGGGAGATCTAAAGTAGTGGCACTCATAGAACCAGAGAGATTTACAATGGTAGTTACTGGGGGCTGGGGAACAGGAAAATGGGAAGCAACTGTTGAGTGGCTATAAAGTTTCACTTACATAAAATGAGTATGCCCTGGAGACCTGCTCTACAGCACTGTGTTTATAGTTAAGAGGGTAGATTTTTCTAATGAGAACACCTGCTCCACGTGCCATCATGTTGCATTTAGTCCTCTCTAAAGTCACCTAGGATGAGCTCAAATCCTAACAAGCCCCAGCCGGGTGCAGTGGCGCAAGCCTGTAATCCCAGCACTTTGGGAGGCAGAGGAGGGTGGATCACTTGAGGTCGAGAGTTCGTTTATCAGCCTGGCCAACAGGTGAAACCCCCGTCTCTACTAAAAATACAAAAATTAGCCGGGCATGGTGGCACATGTCTGTAATCCCAGCTGCTCGGGAGTCTGAGGCAGGATAATCGCTTCACCCTGGGAGGCATAAGTTGCAGTGAGCCAAGATCACACCACTGCACTCCAGCCTGGGTGAAAGATTGAGAAAAAAATAAATAAAGTAAAAAATGAAAAAATAGCAAGCCCCTCCAGTTCTCTCTTGATGAGACTTTCCTAGGTTCTGTAAAATGGGAGGCCTTCATTGTTGCAGCAAGCAAAAACCCAGGGATATGGAATGACGTGTGTGTATCTCATGGGCTTTGGATAGTGGGTACTGACAGGTAAGTATCAGTGCAACGTGTGGGTGAGATAACTATTCAGGTTGTATGGCAGAAATTACCATCTACAGGAGATATTCCTGTTTATCAAAAGGAATGTGGGATAAAGATTAAAAAATACTTCAATTGGCAAAGAGGTCCATCACACTAGGCAAACTCTGAAAATAGTTATGCCCTTTGAAATTTGCTTATTTTGTTTTTGTCCTCTGCAGTGAAAAAGACAGTATTTAGGTACTGTCTCTGGGATTCTATCCTCCTCAGTCCTTGTGTTTCTTCATCCTAAATGCACAGTCCTTTAGCAGAATGTTCTCGTATATGAATTTTCCCTTAAAATAACCCTTCTATCTTCCCACGGCTTTTTCTGACACACTGGAATCTGTTTTATTTATTTATTTTCTGTTGAATCAGACCAACGACAGACATTATTTGGGTAACTGCTGCTGGGGAAGCAGTTCCATGAAAACGGAAATTGGCAGATTATTTTGATTAAACGATGTTTCAATTTGGTGTTGAGATATTTTCTATCAGAAGGCAAAATTAATAAAAGTGTCTACCTTTCTAACAGCACTGATGTGGAAAATAATTAATGATTTATCAGAATCATTCTTCTCCAAGCTAAAAATGAAATACAGAATAACGATAATATTCTATTATAGGTCAAGGATCTCTTATCTGAAACGTTTGGTGTTTCAGGTTTGGAATTCTTGTAGGTGTTGGAATATTTGCATAAACATAATGAGATATCTTAGGGATGGGACCCAAGTCTAAACATGAAATTCAATGATGTCTAATACATGCTTTATACACATAGTCTGATACACCTTCTACACGTGCTTTATCCTTGTTAAGATGATGACTTAGTTTATGAAACACAGTAATTGTCATGGTTTGGCTACTACTCAATTGTTTCCCATAAAACAAGTTGCCCTTTAAATAGGTCACGAGCCAGATGGATTTATGTAGCCTGGAGAGAGGCACGAGAAGCAGCACTTTGGCACAACGGAGAAGTCCTGGTGGGCAGCCATTTTATACAATATTTTATATTTTGAAATACAAATACAATATTTTAAATAATTTTGTGCATGACACAAAGTGTTGACTGCATTTTCTATTGTGATTTGTCCATCACAGGAGGTCAGGTGTGAAATTTTTCCTTTGTGGAGTCATGTTGGTGCTCAAAACAAAGCAGATTTGGAGCATTTTGAATTTTGGATATTCAGATTAGGGATGCTCAATCCATATAACATAATATTTCTTGAAATTATTTGTGTCATGTTTGCATGCTTGAGTATTTTATTAGAGTTGAATAATGGCATGAAGAAAAAAAAAAAGATATCCCATAGAGGCTTCCACAGTCATCTCAAGGATCTTCCACAAAATGAAGCGCTATTGCCAGTTTTTCTACTTACACTGGATTGCTTACAAAATACCTGCTATCGTGGCAAAGGTTGCACTTATCTAAGAGGCTTCAGGTATTGCATCTGTCACTTGTATATCTGGGAGCTATACAAATATATTTGAGAGCTATGCAAACATATTTGTACCTTTGAGAGATACAGGGTATCACTATCTTTCCAAGTTCCCAAAATGAGGAGAAATATAGCACCAAGGGTCATTTGTACACAAGTCACTATTAACTTTCTTCATGAATTTCAGAGTGGTCTATTTTCAAGGAAAATGACAATAAATGAATAACACCTGCATCTGGATAACAAGACGAAAAATGTTTTTTAGAGGAAGAAGTTTGGAAAGTGAGGACACCAATTGTAAGGACTTGAGACAGTAGGATAGGGAGGCAGGGAGAAGCTGTGGAATTGAGACATCACAGCTCCACGGAACGTCTGGGAAGCGGGTGGGTGGAAATCAGACAGTGCTGTGTAACTTCATCCTCCCCGCCCGTCCTCTGGGTCTGGCCCTTCACCTGGACATTTCAGACGGCATCCGAGAGAAAAATTCTATTGTCTGTCGTCATCATTCTCTATCCTTTAGTAAATATTTCACACTGCTGTGAAGCCAAATTGAAATCGGGCCAGTGGAAAAGTGAGCAGGAATGAGGTCAGCCTGGAATAGAGGGTGATCAACAAAATGATTGACTTCTCAGGCCAGACAACCGTGTTTCTTCAGAGGCAGAACGCTCTCCTCTGGGGCTTTGAGGTGCTGAAAGTGGGAAGCAGCGCAAATGTGTGCTCATCTGTCGGGAAAAGCCGGAAGCATGTTGTGACAGGTTCGATGATCACCCTTCAACACCACAAATGCTCTAAGCTACAGATACATGCTGCTCCTTTACTGCACCTCTGTTACAGTTGATGTGAAAACCACAACAACAATCATAAAATAAATCTGAGTGCATGTAGGACTCACTTGCAATACCTAAGTGAAGCAGTTTTCTTTTTGATGTAGTGACTGAGGGACATTTTCTCTCTCAAAATCATTCCTCTCTCATCGTTGGAAAATCAGGTTGGACAAGCCATTACTAGTCAATGAATTAAAACATACATCACTGAATTGCAAGCAAAATTTTACATTTATTCTTCTTTGCAAAGAATATGCTTTTTATAGGCTCTTGACACAAATGTGAGTTTTTAGATGTGGAAAACCAACTAAGCCATATAATTCATGCCCTCTAAAAAGAAGAAGAAACCAAGGGAAAATCAATCAAAACATGTATTTGCCTGCCCAGAAATAACCTCAAGTAAAGAAATTCTTAATGTACATCTTTCCTACCCAAACTGAGAAAAAAATATTTCTGTGTTTTTAGGTCTGTTTATTTTCAGGAGACCATCTGATTAACTATTTTATTTTATTTTATTTTATTTTATTTTATTTTATTTTATTTTATTTTATTTCATTTCATTTTTGAGGTGGAAACTCATTCTGTCACCCAGGCTGGAGTACAGTGGTGTGATCTAGGCTCACTACAATCTCCACGTCCCAGGTTCAAGCAATTCTCCTGCCTCAGCCTCTCAAGAAGCTGAGACTACAGGCACATGCCACCACACTTGGCTAATAATTTTTTTTTTTTTTGTACTTTTAGTAGAGATGGGATTTCGCCATGTTAGCCACGCTGGTCTCAAACTCCTGAGCTCAGATAATCTGCCTGCCTTGGCCTCCCAAAGTGCTAGGATTATAGGCATGAGCCACCATGACTGGCCTAATTAACTATATTTCCATGAATGCTAAAGAGACTGAGTCTTTCCAGCAGAAGACCCTGGAAGAAGAAGCCTTGAGCTCCTGAGCCTGGGATGCAGGTGCTGCTTCAGGTGAGGAGCCTGGGAGAGGAGAACCCAGGTTAGAGATGGTGACCCGGAAAACATGACTTGAAAAAGTCCTGGCCAATAGACATTTACAAGCTGGGCACTGCGGAAGGGGTTCAATATAGAAATATGGTTTCCTTTTCCCTTTAAAATGTACAGTAAATCCTTGCAGTTTACTCATTTTGGTGTGACTGTGTGATCTGGAAGGAACTGAAAGCAGCATTGAATTCTATGTTGAAACAAATTACAGAAATAGGCCTTTTATGAAAACAGCCAGGCATAAATATAAGACAATTGAAAAAAGTAGCATGGATGAGGTACTCTCCAACATGAAGGTTTACTGAGACACAGTCAATCATGCACATCAGAGGGATGCGGGAGAAGACAGGGCAGGGTGGGCAGCTGTGACCACCCTGTCTTAAATCCACAGGAGCCTCGGAGCAGGCAGGAAAGAGAAGGATGTGGGCTCTGCCTCTCTTGGCCTCTGTTTTCAGGCGGATTGATTCTAATGTTGAAAGACGTGAATTACAGGCCAAAGCAAAGTCTCTAAATGCAATGTAATTACTTAATGGCATAGAATCAATGGCCTCTTCTAATCCTGGAAGAAGCAGACTGTGCTGGAGTTACTAAGAAACAGTTTGTGTGATGTTCGGCTTTTGCATTGCGTCTAAGAATATGTTGATTTTCGGTGTAATATATTTTCTGTGAAATGACAAAGATCCCTAAACCTGTATAACCACGGCCAGTAATGCAGGTCCTGCCAGTCCCTGCTTGATGGTACAAGACCAGGGAATTTAGGGAGAAGAGGGGAAGCTACAGGAGTCTCCTCCACTGTGAACACTCGAGGAATTCCCGGGAGCTAAGAAACTGGTATAAAACACTTTCTGCTTGATGCCAAAAAGCAAATGTACAAGGCTGAACATATTCAACATTTAAAAGCAAGAATTGTGTATCTCCCACGTCTTCAAGAAAGCTTGCTAATGCAGGGAAAAAATGTAGTCATGGTTCAGACTTGGAATATTTAAACTGTCAGAGGTGTTTGATCCAGAGTGACTCCATCTTCAATAGGGGCTGTATAAAATGAGGCTGAGACCTACTAGGCTAAATTCATAGGAGGTCAGGTGTTCTAAGTCACAGGATGAGGTAGGAGGTCGGCACAAGGTATAGATCACAAAGACCTTCCTGACAAAAAGACGCCGTAAAGAAGCCGGCCCAAATCCACCAAAACCAAGATGGCGACTAAAGTGACCTGTGGTCATTCCCACTGCTCATTATATACTAATTATAATGTATTAGCATGCTAAAAGACACTCCCACCAGCACGATGACAGTTTACAAATGCCATGGCAATGCCAGGAAGTTACCCTAAAGGGTCTAAAAAGGAGAGAAATCCTAGTTAAAGGAATTGTCTACCCCTTTCCCAGAAAACTCACTAATAATCCATCCCTCATTTAGCATATAATCAAGAAATAATAGCAAGTAGAAGCAGCTGAGTGGCCCATGCTGCTGCTCTATGGATTAGCCATTCTTTATTCCTTAACTTTCCTAATAAACTTGTTTTTACTTTACTCTATGGACTCGCCCCAAATTCTTTCTTGCGCGAGATCCAAGAACCTCTCTTGGGGTCTGGATCCGCACCCCTTTCTGGTAACAAAACCATTACAGATACTCTTATACTTCAGGAGGGGAATAATTAGATTTCTTTTCATGCCAGCTTCTCACCATAGCTTTAGCTTCTCAATTCTATTTGATTATATCACAGCTGATGAAGTGGTTGCTGATTCAGAGGGGGGTGAAAGGTTGGGCAGGCAGGACTCATGCCTGAGCCACAGCTGCAAACAGTGCTCCATAATCACTGAAACTTGTTGGTAATGCAGGTCACTCATCTCAGTCTCCATACTGCTCCTTCCATCACTGGAGACCAGTGAGTTGTGAGAGTTTCATTCCTGGGAGAGTGGATAATGACCATGCCCGTTCATTCAACGGCACGAAACTAAAGATAAGAGAAGCTCCTGGCAAGTGCTGGCTCACCATGGATACATCCATGCTGAAGGGTTATCCCTTTCTGAAGGGTCACTGGCCACAGCCTTCTCTGGGGCACCCCATGATGTCACTCACACCTTCTTCTCTCATGCTTTCCAAATGTACCCTTCTGCTCTCAAGAAGTGTGGAAAACACACAAAAACCCAGCAATTGCATAGAGTAACTAGAATACTGCATTAAAGAGCCTCTAGACTTACATTGCTTCAGAAGTTCAGAAAGATGGTAACATCATCATTAATTCTGTCTTCACATTACTAACCAGGATGACATGGAGGGTGGGAAGCAGAAGGCTAGAGACCATGATCTGTGCATGTCTGGAGTCACACGTTTTTTTGCACACTGATGCTGTTGCAAACATTTTTCACTGTAGACCCCAGCAGCTCTTTATAACAGAACTGTGTCTGTTAACAAGGGTTAGCTATCCTACAACCACGGAAGACATAAAGTCTGTGTGCAATTTGAAGCTGAATTTGTTTATGAATGAATGAAGCTGTAATGGTGTATGAAAGCACTGTTTAGAATATTTTTCTATAATATAGCTCAAATAATTTTTTTTTTTTTTTTTTTTTGAGACGGAGTCTCGCTCTGTCACCCAGGCTGGAGTGCAGTGGCGCGATCTCCACTCACTGCAAGCTCCGCCTCCCGGGTTCACGCCATTCTCCTGCCTCAGCCTCCCGAGTAGCTGGGACTACAGGTGCCCGCCACCACGCCCGGCTAATTTTTGTATTTTTAGTAGAGACGGGGTTTCACCATGTTAGCCAGGATGGTCTCGATCTCCTGACCTCGTGATCCGCCCGCCTCGGCCTCCCAAAGTGCTGGGATTACAGGCTTGAGCCACCGTGCCCGGCTTCAAATACTTTTTAGGCTTCAATGGAACTACTGTCTTTCAAGAAGCAATGTTCCATTTAACTTTTCATGTGTATGCAAAACTTTTACCATTGCTGTTGAGTAATTTATAAGTTGCATTTATGATTCTAGTTCTTCCAAAAAAACTTAGTTTTGACAAAAAGACATCAATTTTCTGCATAAACACACTAGTAGGAGCAAAGCAAGAGAAGGAGGTATATTAGAAATTTATAAAATATTGAGGATGTTAGAGTCGTCATATACTCTTGAGGACAAGAAAAATAAATTTCCTCTATAAATGATGTTCTTTTCTTTCTACTTTTCCGTATCTTTGACATTTTGATGAAAACGTATTACTTTAAATAAGCATAATTTTTAAAATACATGCCTACCAAGGACAACATTTGCATATAAGACACCAGGATATTTGCATGCAATATATTGTCTGATGATGGGATAGATTTTATAATCTTTATCAAAAACCAAGGAAAGCCCCTTATAAAGGCAGACAAGGTCAGTCACTTTAGTGTTTCCAGGAGAAAAAATGTTGAGGCAGCCCAGTTTCTTTACACATCTCACATACTTTGGTCTAAACGTGATTCTGCTTTTGCAAAGTCAGATAGAATTTATTTGAAAAAATTAGAAGTAGTAAGAGACGGGTTGTTTCAACAGGCCACTCTCTAATAAAGTCCATTTTTAAAAACTACTGGGTAATTATTTACATTTTAATAAAAGGTGTAACTTATAACAATGTAACACCTTTTAATGCATTAGCATCTCCATTCATTCAATGGCTACTTACACAGGATCAGAGAGATCTTTGTCTCCTGATTAACTGTTAAGCATCATCCTCATTCTCTTCCCATTACTCTTTAAATGATCTAATTGCTGAAAACTGAAGGGTTTTTACACTGAACTGTTTTGAAGTCATGAATTTCCCAATTTGAGATGATTAGAAACGATTGATACATAATATAACACTGTTATACTCCACCTTTTTAAAAAATACGTAATAGTATCAATAATGTTTTCTGGAGGAATCTTTATTAAAGGAAAGAAACCATTGCTAAGAAAAAATTTTTCTCCAGATCTGAAGAAAATACTTAACAGTGGCCATTAGTATCTGTAGCCTCCAGCAAAATTGAGACCTAGAAAAACTAAAATATTGCTTTTTATTTTTGAACACACAGTTTATCTCTGAACAAGATCATTTCTTCCAGATCTCAACCTTTACAGTCATGACAAGCTCCACGCAAAGACTTAATCCAAGCTTCTGAAAGTGTATGAACAGTTTATGTGGTCATTTTTTCAATGCAAAACAAAAGTGAAACAAATTAGGAGAAAATTCTTTACTTTGCAGAATCTTTGAGCAATCTCAAATATTTTTTAAAAGGTTTAAATTAAAAGATAAGTATAAAGGTGTAAAAGTACCCAAAGTTAATAAAACACAAACAAAATAAAATAGGTATTTAGTTAGGATAAGAGATGCATGCGTGATATTTTGTTTTTTGTTTTGTTTTGTTAAATTTCCATTTAAGCTTAGTTTTTATAATAAAATGTGAAATTGTATAATGCATTTTAAACATATTTCCTATATTGTTACTAAGATCTCAACTATTTCAAAATACGTAATTAGATAAAATACTGTATTTGAAGTCATCTTACGAGATGTGAAGAGCTACAGAAAGGTAATATGATCAATATTTATTCCCTTCTAGTGCCTGATAAATTAGATATTATTGTGTTTTTGTAGTAGAAATATGAGTTTCAACTGTCAAAAAATTGTAATATTTTTATTAAATAATTTTATTATAAACATATGAACACCTTCAGCTCCTTAAATATTACAAAAATGCAGCTGAGATGTTTTGAGTGCTTTGTCTGAGACTAGCCGTGGGTGCAGCATCAGGAAAGACCACAGTGACATGTGGAGACATGTGGAGTGACGCTTACCTTGATACACGAAGTGGAAGCCGCGGGCAGAGGCACCGCTCTTTGCACTGAATCGGAGCAGAATTTGATTTGACGTAGCCAAGGGCAATGTTTCCCCTAGAAACGAAAACAGAGACAGATTCAGAAAACACACAGCACCGTGGGGGACGGTAGTATTTTGGAAAATGGTGATAAAGTTGAAATTTCACATTTATTTTTTGAACTTTTAAAACATTTTCACTTTATGGTTTAAAACTCAAATATGTTGTTTTTATAAAGATTAAAAACTCTGTCCTAGGCAAGAATAGGCAGTGCATTTGATTAAAATATACTGTAATCATTATTTCGCTTATGATTTCTTTTGAAGAAAGCACCAATGGTAGGCCTATATAATAGAGTAGACAGAAGTAAAGGGTGAATCATTTGCTCAGAATCACCTTACTCTGATTTTAGTTAAAATTAAAATAATTTTACTTAAAAAATTTTTAAAAGTAACTGAATCCAAAGATGATTTTTTTTAAATTAAAAGATTCAGAAAAGGCCTTCTGAAGTATATTTTTAACCTTTAAAAGCACATATAGGCCAGGTGAGGTGGCTCACACCTGTAATCCCAGCATTTTGGGAGGCTGAAGCTGGTGGATCACTTGAGGCCAGGAGTTTGAGACCAGCCTGGCCAACATGGGGAAACCACGTCTCTACTAAAAATACAAAAATTAGCCAGGCGTGGTGGTGCATGCCTGTAATCCCAGCCACTCAGGAGGCTGAGGCAGGAGAATCGCTTGAACCTGGGAGATGGAGGTTGCAGTGAGCCGAGATGGTGCCACTGCACTCTAGCCTGGGCAAGAGAGTGAGTGAGACTTTGTCTCAAAAAAAAATAATAATAATAATAATAAAATAAAAATAAAAAATATATAAAAGTGCATATAAAATGTGGAAGAGTCTGTGTCAAGCAGTGGTGGGAGGTGTGTGAATTGGCATAAGGTTTTCAGAGGACAATGTGTTACTAATAATCAACATATTTAATGTGTATCCTCTGATGCATTCTTAGATACATCATTGAACCTTGGTAGAAAATAACAAAACATAGGTCTTAAGACTTTTAGTTAATAATAAAATAGAGAAAACCTGGAAATATAATCAAATCTGAACATTAATTGGTCAAAGCTTGTGACGCATATCGTTTACTAGGCAAATTAGTAAATGTACCCAGTACCAAACTGATTTAGTAAATGATGAAAATGTATCAGTACAAATAAGGGGTAGGTCATCAATTAAAAGTGGGGTTAAATTGTGCTATATTAAACCGACTGAATACCATTCAGAACTCAGAGTAAGGGCATTGGGTGCATACCGTGTTTGTTAGAGACAGACTTCTGTATGTGATTTTAAGGGTAAGAATGGGATAAAAATAAGTTGTGAAATAACATTCCATGTTTTATGGGGGCTCATGTGTATTTGCATGTGTGGATAAATGTATGCATGTATACATGTGAACACGTGTACATGTGTGGCTATTAATGGGTCTCTCTATGTAGGACTTACAGGCTTAGAATGCTTTAGACCGAAATGTTAATCGTTTTTATCTCCAGAAGGAAGGTTAAGACACATGGGATACAAAATTAAACACAGATGATAGTTGATTATCCCACCCTCTTTTTCGGATCTTTGCACCTTTTACTGAGATAAATATTATATTTTCTGCAATCTTAGTAAGATGATAAAAGCACGTGATTTTATGTGTGAGATAAAAACACTTTTGAGATCTTATATCTAAAATAAGATTTTTCTAAGCACACACGCAAATTCAAAAATGATTACATTTCTCATTCATCAAAACAAAGCAAAAGAAACAGACAAGTTAAAAATTAATCCCCCTAGCTGTCTGAACTAAATTAAGGGCAAAATTCTTTAAGACTTACCTGAGTGAGACCCCGAGAGTGAGCTGAGAAGTCTGGCCTGTGCATGGGTTCCATCAAATAATTCTGCCAAATCATTCAGGGCTGTCTGGAAATAGGCAAACTGTCCAAAGACCACTAAAAAATAAGAGGTGGGATGTTGGCACAAGATGCTCTAAGAAAACAAAATGGAGATTTTTGATTTCACTGAATATCTATTAATTGCCCCAATGGATCATTATCCTAAGAATTTGGTAAAAAAATAAATATTAACTTATTTTCTCTGCTTTCTAAGTTTTCAGTTGACAAAACTATTTTACTTTGCTTCTTGACTTTTGGCATTTAATAAAAGAAAAAATACTGTTTTATTTCCAATTTGAACATTAAATGAGGAATGTTTTTGTTTTAATAAACACAACATTAAGAATATATGGGCTGGATGTGGTGGCTCACGCCTGTAATCCCAGTACTTTGGGAGGCTGAGGCAGGAGAATGGCTTGAACCTGGAAGGCGAAGGTTGCAATGAGCTGAGATTGTACCACTGCACTCCAGCCTGGGCGACAGAGTGAGACTCTGTCTCAAGAAAAAAAAGAATATCTGTAAAGACTTCCCTATATTTTCAAATATTTAGCAACACTTTATTCAATGAAAAATAAGCAAAGGATCAAACCCCATGATGATTTGATGAGGAATTTAAAATTCCTCACAAAAGATTATTATAATGCCAAATTCACATTAATACGTTGCCGTATTCATACACACTGACTTATACACGTGATTCTCTGGCATATAATAGGAATCCCTTGCTGTTTTCCACTCTACAATTTCATGTATCCTACAGGTTATGAAAGGTGTGTGAACACACCTCCTCCAAGTGAAACATAACTACATGCTTTGTGACTTCAAATTTAACTGATGCTGTGTATTCAGATTGACGATACAGAGGGCCTTTATATTTGCAGGAAAACCTGTGATTTGGTATATACTTACAAGCAATGAACAACTAATTCTTTTCTTATTTATTGTAAGATTTGCACTACAATCATTCTAAGCCATTATAAACAAGAAATGGAGGTGTGTGCACTAGTTGTGTGTGTCAGAATTCCAACGGAAACAATTACTGTTAATATTTGTTAGTATGACGGAAGTAATCTAACTGTAACAGTGTGTGTGCCCATGTGTGTATAGACACACATACATATATTTATGTAACCAACTCCATACACACATATCTAATATAACTTGTCTTTTAAGATTTTATAATTTCCCAGAGAAAAACACAAAGAAGGCATGTAGGCTAGGTGAATTTTCCCAATAGATGAAATGCTCTAAAAACTTTTTTCAGGAATTAGAGAGGGAGAGGACTTAATAATTTCTCTACAGATCTTGCTCATACCATCCTCACCCACCCACCACCTCCCCAAGTTCATTAGATTTTTATCATACTGGAGGCCCAAAACTTGGGTCACAAAAGTGAATCATCCACAGATAATTTCTACTCTTTTTCAAGAAATATTTAGCTGACATCCACCTCATACTAGAAACTAAGAAAAAAGGAGGGAAGGGGATAGTAACATGGTCTTAGGACTATCATGCTCTAACGTGTTTGGTAATTTCCAAGACAAACATGGATTTTGAGTACAAGATGTCAGGAGCCAGAATGCCCAGCTCATTCTGGACATGGCCCCAACGTCTTCCTTGAGGAACCTCCTTCACCTGGGTTCTAACCCGTCACACACACTGAGTCCCAGTGAGCAAACTCAATTGCCAAGAGAGAAAAGCTGTTCACTGCTATCTACGCTGCTGCCGGAAATCATGAGAATGTGATGAGAAGAACAAACAAAGGGTTATGGGGCTTCAGCCGCGGGAACTGTCAATGCTTCATGGTGAGGGGATGGCACTATCAGCAAGAAGGATTAGTGGAAGAATGGAATATAAGAAATTATATCAGCGAACGGAATACAAAAAGCAAAATGGTGGCGGGGACAAATGCAGCAAATAGTCAACTTCAGCTAACACTCCGTGGATAAAAAACAAACAGGGGGATTGGAATGCAAAGGCCTGTGGCAAGGATCTCAAAGGCCACCCTGAAAACAAACACTTTGCTCCATAAATAACAGGAGTGACTAAGGATGTTTATCACGATACTAACATGCTTAGATTTGTGTTTTAGAAAGAATTCTTGGCTATGCTTTTGGATGAGAATAGAGGAAACTGGGTTATCTGAAGACCTGTCTTATTAATAATATCGCTTCGCATTTTCAGCCTGTGTTGACAGACAGGGAGCAGCCTCTTCCTACCTGGTAAGGATCACATCACCCCGTAGTGTCTGGATTGCACATCTGCCTCACCCCTCACCATAAGCCTGCCAGGGACATGGACCAGATTCCTTTCATCTTTGCATCCCTGTACTTACAAATACTGTGAGATTAATTGTTTAGTTAATTAGTTTATTTATCAGGAAAGAGTAACGAATGGGGGAAGAAAGTAAAAGATGAGACAGAATGCATTTTCATTAAAGATTCGCTGTAACTACGTTATTCCACGCTGAAGCTTTCTGCCAGATAGGATGTGATCGTTTGTGTGATTAAACTTTTCAAATTGGGAAATTATAAACGATATTTAGGATATGAGTATGACTTCTTTAGCTGAAAATTTTTAATTGTGTAATGATGACAATAATATTTTGTATTTAACTAAAATCATAGAATATGGCTGCTAAATTCCATTGTAATAAATATATTTTGTCATGTTTCCATGAACAGAAGACTTTTTTGTGATAATCAGGGGAATACTGCTGAGCATTTAGGTAAAAAAAAAAAAAATTATTTCATTCAAATTCAGAATTAAGGCTAAAGTTAAATGAGGGACTTTAAAGAATTTGGTCCAACTTAAAATTTGGAATCCAGAACCCATTTTAAGTATTACTGCCCATTTATCATAACAAAGGGAACAGCAAGGTTTGGGGAGGGTGTGCATTACATTCGTAAGAGGCCCGGGAATCATGACACAATAGAAGTTTACAAAAACACTGGCTCCCACACACAAGTTTCTTACACATCAAATATCTTTCTTGTCACATGTTAAAAATGCTTTATCTCAAATACGTCTAACATTAGAATTTTTACCTGCTTTATATGCAGAGTGAGTGCTGTCTCAGACATAAATAAAAACCTTGACTATGTAGCGTTTTCAATTTTCCTATTGGAAAGAGGGACATAGTCTTTAAGATGATGACAGCTACTATCTGGTTTACTCCAGAAAAGAATCTGATCCAAGATAAATTGTCCTGGTCAAGAGTGAGAGTGAGCATTGCATAAATGAAGTGCAGAGCGACCAGGGAAGGCCCTTCTGGAAATGAAGTCATTTTGGAAAATTAGCTGGAATTGGAAGCAATGTTTAGGAGGGAAACAGGAAGTCAGGGTTCAGCAGGTGAAACAGTCAAGACTCTGCCTGCTTCTCCGTCCCTCAGCACTTACAGGTTGACTCAAGGATGCAGTGATTTCGATCATGATCTGGTTACTGAGTTCACTGAATGTATGTGCCATTCATGCACAGACATATACACAGAGTTCTGACCCACCCACTACTTTATGAGAAATCCTCCGTTGCTCATAAAAACAACCAACTGAAAGAACTATGTTTGGGAAACCTAAGAAGAAAGCCAAATTAATTCTCTCTGATTATTTCGGATCATAACCCTAGAGGGGACTGTGAGCATTAATATCACATTGGTAAAAGGACTGTAATGGACATTGTGCAGGATATGTTTGGAAGGCCTGCTACTTAAATGCAACTCATTTGCTTTTATATGAAATATTTCACTAAGCTCTAGCATACTTGTTTATCAAATGACAGAAAAATTAACACTGAAAGGAAATATGACAATGAATTAAAAATACAAGGACATCCTTACCGAATTCCTTTGGTACCGTGATGGAATAGAGGCATATTTGACCAGCTGTGTAATTATGGGGGTAGTTTGGTGATAAAACTACCCCTTCTGATCCCGTGTACTGGCCTCCACAGGGAGCTGAAAATAAAATCAACCGAGAATTAGTCGCTGTGCAATAATAGCGCAGGTGATAGGTGAGCCAAAGCTGAAACACATCAAACACGTGAGCACGTTTATTGAAAACTTGACAAAATAAGAAGTTAAAATCTTGTTTTGCATTGCTATCAAAGTCATAGAAAGACAAAGATTTACCAGGGAAGAAGTAATCCAACTTAGGAGAAAAACCTAATATTATTTTCAAGACATTTGTCTCAGATGTATTAAAATAATAAGGGAAACATCTATAATAATAATAAAATAGGTTCTATAAAGACAAATGATTAAATTATTTTAGAAAGTCTCGCGGAGTTGTCTGTTCGAAGTCAATCCTCATATTAACTTAAGAGATACAAAGATTATTTCAGTTTTCTATCACTTTTATATTAATATGGGAATCAAAGGAAAAATGTTTTGTTTTTTAGGGGATTTTCTTTGTTTTAACGTTTCATCTTATAGTTTCAGTAAAAGCAACATGCATAATTACTAATGCTTTTGGGGTCTCTTCCTATGAGTTCAATTTAAAACTAAAAGAATCCATCATTAGAAAGTTAGGGCTTACAAAATATAGAGAGGTGTGTGTGTCTGTGTGTGTGTGTATGTGTGTGGGGGGTATGTATGTGTGGGGGGGTATGTCTCTGTGTGTATGTGTGTGTGTGGGGTGTGTGTGTATCTGTGTGTGTGGTATGTGTGTATGTGTGTTTGGGGTGTGTGTGTATGTGTGTATTGGGGGTATGTCTGTGTGTGTGTATGTGTGTGTGGGGGGTTATGTCTGTGTGTGTATGTGTGTGTGTGGGTGTATGTGTGTGTGTATGTGTGTGTGGGGGGGTTATGTCTGTGCGTGTATGTGTGTGTGGGTGTATGTGTGTGTGGTGTATGTCTGCGTGTGTATGTATGTGTGTGTGGGAGGTTATGTCTGTGTGTGTATGTGTGTGTGTGTGTATGTGTGGGGGGCGTATGTCTGTATGTGTGTGTATGTGTGTGTGGGGTTATGTCTGTGTGTGTGTGGGTGTATGTGTGTGGGGGTATGTCTGTGTGTGTGTGTATATGTGTGTGTGGGGGGTTATGTCTGTGTGAATGTGTGGGTATGTCTTAATTTTCCCCCAGTTATCTTATTTACTTTGGCTTCACTTTTGCTGAGAAAATGAAAAACACTGTACACAGATGTTCAATGCACTTTTTAAAGCATCATGGAAGAGACCTCCAATTAAATCCCAGCCATTTGATATCCAGTCTTTAGATTGCCAGTACTCTATTTCATTATATTTCTACATGAGAAGGGGCCAAGTCAGCTCCCCTCATCTGTTTAACATAGGGCAATGACCAGCGTGGGAGCCACTCAGGACAGCCTGTTGCACCCTTACCATGCTGGCTGTGGCCTGACTGCACTTCCTATCTTGGATATACCGCCACTGATTTGAATTCAGAATTAGCTTCAGTATTTCAGAAAGATTATATTTCTACAGCTCATTTCTTCTTGATATGGCCATTTTCTTTTTTTTTTTTCATTTTCTTTTTTTTTTTTTGAGATGGTGTCTTGCCCTGTCACCCAGGCTGGAGTACAATGGCATGATCTCAGCTCACTGCAACCTCCGCCACCCGGGTTCAAACGATTCTCTTGCCTCAGCCTCCCGAGTAGCTGCAATTACTCGGCGCCCGCCAACACACCTGGCTGATTTTTTTTTTTTTCATCTTTAATAGATATGATGTTGGTCAGGCTGGTCTCGAACTCCTGACCTCATGATCCGCATGGCTCAGCCTCCCAAAGTGCTGGGATTACAAACGTGAGCCACTGAGTCCGGCCACAATGGCAATTTTCAAGCCTCAAAGAATAAAGAAGTTAGAGATAACATGTTTAATTCTTTGAATGTTAATTAGCATTATGTTAAATATTAATTGATGGACAGAACATTTTCCATGATGAATTAAGCTCCTTAGAATATGGTAATGCTAAGGATAAGGCAACTTGTTAATGATTAGTCAAGAAATTTCCTGAATCCCTGCATTACAATCGCTTGAAAAACTTAAGTTGTATTCTAAAAGTCAAAGGAAAACAGCTCAGACATCTGTCAGCTTTGATCTGTTCATCAAAGCTGACAGAAATTTAAGCAGAGATTTTACTTAAATAAGCTCAGCCTTCATGCTAGTGTCTTAATTCAAAATCATGTTATCACTCTAAAACACTTCTCTAAAACACTTCTATTTAGGTTTTTATGATTTTAAATAGAAACATTTTATTTTCACTTTTAGATGGAGGATATTTCTATAAGCTCAACTTCAAAACTGAAGGTTTCCAATAGAATGCTGGCATCACTCACTCTACCAACGCAGATATATCCCTCAGATATTTCTCTCCACCTTAACCATGTGAAGTCAACCAGGTTATGTCAGACCTATCTTTCCTTTTCCTCAAAAGCTTCAAGTTCAAGTTTTTAAAAAACTTAGCACAAATAAAGATTGAAAATATATTTTATTTGCGCTCAGTCACATACAATTCAAACATATCATTTTGCAAATGATCTTTTTCCATAAAACAATTAGTTTTAAATTTTAGACAAGAAGTATAAATAAAAAGTGGAAACGTCATCACTGGGCCAAAATTTTGATTCCCAAATTATTAGCGATGGTAAAGTAATTCTTTTCAAGAACATCTTCTGATCGCTCTGTCACCAGGCTGGAGTGCAGTGGTGTGATGTCAGCTCACTGCAACCTCTGCCCCCCAGGTTCAAGTGATTCTCCTGCCTCAACCTCCCGAGCAGCAGGGACTACAGGTGCACACCACCACACACAGCTAATTTTTGTATTTTTAGTAGAGATGGGATTTCACCATGTTGGCTAGGATGGTCTGGATCTGTTGACCTCGTGATCCACCTACCTCGGCCTCCCAAGGTGCTGGGATTACAGGGCTGAGCCACCACGCCCGGCCATATGTTTTGTGATTGTTAATACTGAATGTCATCTTGATTGGATTGAAGGATAGAAAGTATTGATCCTGGGTATGTCTGTGAGGGTGTTGCCCAAGGAGATTAATATTTGAGTCAGTGGGCTGGGGAAGGCAGACCCACCCTTAATTTGGGTGGGCACCATCTAATAAACTGCAGCATGGCTAGAATATAAGCAGGCAGAAAAATGTGAAATGAGAGACTGGCCTAGTCTCCCAGCCTACATCTTTCTCCTGTGCTGGATGCTTCTTGCCCCTGAACGTCAAACTCCAAGTTCTTCAGTTTTGGGACTCGGAATGGCTCTTCTTGTTCCTCAGCCTGCAGACAGCATATTGTGGGAATTTGTGATCATGTGAGTTAATGCTTAATAAACTCCCCTTTATATATGTAACTATTCCATTAGTTCTGTCCCTCTAGAGAACTCTAATACATGTTTCAAAGTATAACTACAAAGAAACACTTTGTGCAAGCATAGAATAAAAGAGCATTGCCTTATGATAGTAGAGGACATTTTTGAAAAGTCAAAGATGAAATTCAGGAAAACTGACTCAGAACTTTTGTCTTTTACTACCTTGATAAATAGTGCTTGTGCCTGTCCGTTCTTCCTCAGATCAAAATGCTAAGCACCAGAACTACAATGATACGTTTCATACATGAACAACATTTGTGTTAGAAAAATATGGATAGAATTTTTATTTATTTGTTTGTTTGTTTATTTATTTATTTATTTATTTATTTATATTTATTTATTTTTGAGACAGAGTCTTGCTCTGTGGCCCAGGCTGGAGTACAGTGGCGTGATCTCGGCTCACTGCAAGTTCCATCTCCCGGGTTCATGCCATTCTCCTGCCTCAGCCTCCCGAGTAGCTGGGACTACAGGCACCTGCCACCATGCCCGGCTAATTTTTTTGTAATTTTTTAGTGGAAACGGGGTTTCACCATGTTAGCCAGGATGTTATTGATCTCCTGACCTTGTGATCCGCCTGCCTCGGCCTCCCAAAGTGCTGGAATTACAGGTGTGAGCCACTGCACTCGGCTATTTAATTCTTAATAATTGTTATGTCTGCATTACTGTGCTAATCTAAGAAACAGGCCTGGTGCTTCTCACCTTAGAAGTTATTTTATTTTAATGCAACAACAAAAGAAAAATAAATAAATGTTTGTTATTTGGTAATTAACATATTAAACAGATTATTTCCTAAATGAATAAAGACATACAAAAGCATTCATTGCTAATGGTAACAAGAAGCTTGCTTATCCATTTGGCTAATTAGAATATATACATCTCGTACATAAAAGCAACCACATAGAACCAAATTGAGTAAACAAAACTAGCAAACAGAAGTCATTGTGACCCATGAAAGGGGCTCAACTTTGCTTCAATTTCAGTTACAATTCTACAAAAAACTTCAATAAGCAAAATTTGTAGGTAATAGACGAATAACCAGGAAAAACATTACCCCACGCATCTAAAACAAACTGCCCCAAAATGCACCAACTGCATCCCATGATGCAGGAACTATCAAAAGATTTACAGTGGAGCAAAAGGCCCCGAGGTTAACTGTTGATCTGAATAAATCACAGGCGCTGGTTCATGCACAAATGTGCTGCTCTCCATGAGGGATCCAAGATGCACTACAGGAGAGACCATCTCTGCTTTCCAGATTTATAACATAAAGCTTTATTTGCATGTAAATGGAATCCTCCATTTGGGGAAATCAGTGTTTCATGCGCTGTGCTCTTTGATGACTAGTAAAATAAATTGTGCCTCACTCCACAGATCTTCAGACATGGAAACTGAAACAGTCTCTAATTAAAAATTTGGTTTTATATATATGACCTATATATATATAGGAATATACATATATATGACCTATATATATATAGGAATATACATATATAGGAATATGTATATATGTATATATCCTATATATAGGAATATATGTGAATATATATACATATATACGTGTGTATATATGTATAATTCCTATACATATGTGTATAAATTAATATATAGGTGTGTGTATAAATATATAGACAGGAATATATATATAAAGTGTATATACACTTTATATATAATTATACATATATATACACACCTATATATGTATATACACTATATATATATAAAGTGTATACATATATACTTTTTCTTTAGCCACAGAAAAGGTATTTTTCCTATGGCTAATACTTTACCCATGCTTTTTCTATGGCTAAAGTTTTATCACTCCCCACAAATTCAACTGTAATTGAATTTAATATAAATTAAATGCCTTTTGTATTATTAGTTAACAAAAGTACAGAATTCATGACCTTTCCTCAATTTTGCTACCTACTTTTATCTCCCTCACACTAGACTCTATATAATTGCTAAAGATATCTGAAGTGGGGGAAAAATACACCAGGGGATGCAAAAATCATTTTCTGGGATACAAGAAAGAAAATTAGAATTTTTACCCAAAATTACATCTTTTGTTTTCTTGAGATAAGGTATTGCCCTGTTGCCCAGGCTGGAGTGCAGTGATCCAGTCACGGCTCACTGCAGCCTCAACCTTCAGAGCTCAAGTGATACTCCCACTACAGCCTCCCGAGTAGCTGGGACCCCAGGTGTGCACCACCCCACACAGCTAATTTTAATTTTTTTTGTAGAGGTGGGGTCTTGCTATGTTGTCCAGACTAGTCTTGAATTCTGGTCCTCAAGCGATCCTCCTGCCTTAGTCTCTCAAAGTGCTGAGATTACAGGCATGAGCAGCTTTGTCTGGTCTAAAATTCCATCTTTGTAAATGTCTGTGTTCATGTAGTAATTGTGTGGTCTATAACAGCTGCTGAGATGGTCAGTACCTGTAATGCGTGGCAGAGATCGAGGTTGCATGCTCAATAGTTATATTGATTGGATGTCAGATCAAAAGGGTTTGAGGTCATTGCCCTTTGTTACATCAAAATGGTTTTGGAAACCAGTTACATACAGAATTAAGATTTACTAGTTTTGGGGAGCCTTATGCCTGTGGAATTTATCCTCCTAACACTTGTGACCTAGAGACTGTCATCGCTCTCAGCCCTGCGAGTCTTGTCTGGAGTGACACAGACGGGAGGAGGTGAGGCGAGATCTGGTCACTCTGCAGGGCGCACCTTTCAGTGCTGCCGTTGGCTCACAAGCCCGGCCCTGCCCGCACTGGCCATGCCTCGTCCAGAAGGGAGGATCCTCAAGACCTTGGACAGCAGCTCACAGGCAGCTCCTGGCCAACCTCAAGAGCACAGGGCAAGCACCCAGAACCACTGGCATGCACTGCCCAGGCCGCTCAGGATATGAGGGGCACCCAGGCTGGTGGCAAGACAAGAGGGGGTGGAGGTGTGGCCCACCCTGGGCCAGGACAGGGAAGGGTGGGTGCTGGGCAGAGACTTCCAGCTGCCTCGTGCCCACCTCACCAAGTGACACCCACTTCTTCGTTTGTCTCCGTCCTGTTTTGGGGGCTGTGCAGGCACCAGGGAGACCTTGGTCTTGACCTGTAATGCTAGATCAAAGGCTCTCTTTACCTCAAAGCCACTCTGGCTCACTGCCTCCCTCACCCATGAGCACGCTGAGTTCTATTTGAAGCTCCCATATGCTTCTTATTTTAGTTTTTAATAAACTTAAAAAAGAAACACTCTATAACTTCCCATTCACAAAAGTCTCCCAAAGCAAGTAACACAATGACTACACTATCAGAATTTTTAATTAAACATGACTAGAAAGGACTGATGCATAACCTGGCCTATGATCACGATTTTAAAACACAAAAAATAACGTTCTTCCTCTGTCGATCTGTTGCCCAGGCTATAGTGCAGTGGAGCAATCTCGGCTCACTGAAACCTTCACCTACCAGGCTCCAGCGATCCTCCTACCTCATCCTCCCAAGCAGCTGGGACTACAGGCATGAGCCACCACATCCAGCTAAGTTTTGTATTGTGTTTTTGGTAGAGATGGGGTTTTGTCATGTTGCTCAGGCTGGTCTCAAACTCCTGAGCTCAAGGGATCCACTAGCCTTGGCCTCCCATAGTGTTGGGATTACAGGTGTGAGCCACTACACCTGGCCTAAGTTCTTACTCTGTGCCAGTCTCTACTGCTGGGTCCAGACAGCTACACTTCTTTAACTTAAAAGGTTTCAGGATCATAAGAGAATGGACTTAGAAACATAGAAATAGCAGAACACGCCAGGGAAGTAGGTTTTGTTTTATTTTGTTTTGCTTGTTTGATTTTAGTTTCTTATATACTTTTTTTTTTTTTTTGAGAGAGAGTTTCACTCTTGTTGCCCAAGCTGGAGTGTAATGGCACAATCTCAGCTTCCACAACCTCTGCCTCCCGGGTTCAAGCGATTCTCCTGCCTCAGCCTCCCAAGTAGCTGGGATTACAGGTGTGCACCACCACGCCCAGCTAATTTTTTGTATTTTTAGTAGAAAGGGGGTTTCTCCATGTTAGCCATGGTCTCGAACTCCTGACCTCAGGTGATCCACCCACGTCAGCCTCCCAAATTGCTGGGATTACAGGTGTGAGCCACGCGCCCAGTCTCTTATACAGTAATATTTAAAATGTTTATTTGGCCTGAAGCTGCCAGTAGCATTGTTAGGCTGTCTTAAGAAAAACACATTTGTTTCATAATTTATCAAACGAAACTGGTCTTTGAGCTCATCTTAAAATAACCCTAGAAATGAATGTCTCTGCAACAAGCCATGAAGTTCTACCTCATTCTTCTTCTTTTTTAAATATATACCATGAAAATGTAAAAGGTACAAGTCAAGGGTCCACAGCCTGAGGAGTGTTTGCCTATAGAGACCCCCATGAAACCACCACCTAGGTGAAGATATGCACCCTGGCCAGCAGCCAGGAAGTCTACCCTCCCACTCTTCCCAGTTCACACCCACAGGGCAGCTGCTGTCTGACTTCATCACTGTAGGTTAGTTTTGTCTGTCCTTGAAAGCTGATTCAACGATTTTACTAATTTCATTCCTAAGGAATTACAAACTATTGCTGTTTTGGGGGGAAATGACATATCCATTTAAATATATACATATTAGTTTTTTCTCTCTATATATATACAGATAAATAGGTGTAAATATATATGTGTGTGTGTATGTATATATATAAAAATATATGTACATTAAAATATATATGTATATATGTAAAAATATATGTGTGTGTATGTATATATATGTGTGTGTGTATGTATATATATGTATGAGACTCCATCTCATATATATATATGTGTGTCTGTGTATGTGTGTGTGTGTATATACATACACATATATATATATATATATGAGATGGAGTCTTGCTCTGTCACCCAGGCTGGAGTGCAGTGGCACAATCTCAGCTCACTGCCCAGGTTCAAGCGATTCTCCTGCCTCACCCTACTGAGTAGCTGGGATCACAGGCACGCACCACCACACCCAGTTAATTTTTGTATTTTTAGCGGAGACAGGGTTTCACCATCTTGGCCAGGCTGGTCTCGAACTCCTAACCTCGCGATCCACTCGCCTCAGCCTCTTGAAGTGCTGGGATTACAGGCATGAGCTACCACGCCCGGCTAGAAGTAAGTATTTTATATATGGAGAGAGAGAGAGAGAGAAGTAACTAGAGAAGGCTAATTAGCACCTCTTATAAAGAACAGATCTAGAACACACAAAAACAGAAGTGAAAAATGTAAAACTGTACGAGCGAAGGAAAAATATTGCTCCTCCCAGAAACCTATGAGAATGGCTAACACACTAGCTGCATTAAATGATCAATGAATGACTGATATTCGTTCCACACTAGCTCTCTAAGCAATCCTCACCACCGATGAGAGGAATACGTGTTGAAATGTGAAACCATTTCTTCAATGAGATGCTGCATTTTAAAGGAAAGTTGTATTTCTAGAAAATACCCAAGCGTGCACTCACCATTGCAGGAGGGCAGCACTTGGTCCCAGGAGGGTTTCCCATCAGCCCCAATCACACAGGTGATGGATGAGGGGTCAAGAATCTTATAGCCAGAGTCACACTGGTAGGTGATGGTGGAGCCAAGCTTGAAGTCTGTTCCAACTCTTGTCCCATTCATTATATTTCCTGGGTCAAAACAAGCTTCCCGTGGTTTCTCTGTGGAAGAAATGAATGTAAACTGCATGAGAGCAGGGATCTTATTCTTGTTTGTGTTTTTGTTTGTTGGGTTGGTTCTTTAATTGTGTTATTTAGGGCCTAGAACAATGTCCTAAATAAGTAAGAAATGCTCAAAGAATATTTATTGATTGGCTATTGACCAAGTGAAACTATTAATTAAAATAAGAAAATTCCTTTTTAATAAAATTATATTTCCATTTTAAAAACCACATTTTGCTACAGAATTGATATAAAATTACCTTCATCTACATAAAAAATACAGTACTACGTTTTTATATATTTATCCATTTTTGGCTACAGATTTTAGGACTGAATCAAAGAAAAATTGACTCTGGAAAAATTGAGGTTCATTTTCTAACTTTTGTACATCAAACATATTAACATAAAATCATTCCACACCTTTCAGAAAAGACTGGAGAATTTGGCTTCTCAAAATGAAACAGTTTAATTCCTGAAAGTTAAGAGCACTTTCTTATACGAATAACAACAGACAGACTTAGAAGATGAAGATGGATGCTTGTTCTCATTCTTTTACTACCGTATTTCTGTTGTTAGTCTTAATAGAGTAAACGTCAAACTTAGAAGAAAAAAATACATTGACTGATAGATGATGGTCAAACATTGTGCACTGGATGTACTAACAGCCAATAGTTCTACCTTAGTTAAAATAATTGCTGAAATTTATTGAGGGCTCATTATGTACCAGACATGGAACTAGGTGCATTTCTTGTTTAATTCTAATCTCCAGGACACCTCTGCCAGGAAAGGATCATAAGAATGTAAAACTCAAGGAAAGTTAAGTCACTTCCACAAAGACCCCCTGCAGAGACCTGCCCACTTCTGGGGCCCCTCAATTAGGCATTCACTTTTGGCTGCATTAAGTATTTCTTCTTCCCAAGTAAAAATACAAAACCTTTTTTCTTCAGTCATGTTGTTCTGCAGTCAATTTCAGTTATCTTCTGGTAGCCTTAATATTTTTAATTTTCTGTTTCAATAGACCATCTAAAATATCTCTAAATGAAAAAGTGTATAACCCTGCAGTCTACCACCCTGCTAGAAATAGATAAATATAATGGGAGAGGAAAAAGCAAAAACAAAAATGCTAAACTTTGGGAAGCTCTGGAGGAAGAAAAAGAGACCTGATTAACTGTATTTATTCAATATTTTCAATTATATTTTTAATAATCCATGTGTAATCATCAACCAAACAGAGATGTCTTTGGTGATCATTGACTTAATCATCGTATACATTATATAAAGAATCTATTATAATAATGTATTATATTTAATAAACTATATTTCCTATATAATTTACATACTTTGATTAAATCTATATTAATATATATTATATATATAAGTTTTCTCATTTAAGAATTTGAGATTAAATGATACATATATATTTTATATACATTTCTTGTTTTGTGCCTTCAAACCAGTGCTCTCTAATTGCTTTGTTGAAAAGCTGTTTGGATGTTTAAAATGGTAGCTGACATGTTGATAATTCTTTGTAACTGCATTAAATCCCATATAGAATATAGAACATTATTTTAAGCAAATACAGATCAAATAAGTAAACCTGTAAGTACTATGAAAGTTGCTCAGTTTTTCTGATATTTTATTTAATCATTCAACACAATGTACTGAGGATCTAGTGAATAGAAGCATGGACTTGTTCACAATATTTTCCCCTATTGAAAATAAAAAATTTCCCAGTACACATCTATTAATGTATGTCTGTTGCTCTTGTGTCCTTTTTGATCATTTTTTTGTTATAAATCTCTTTTAGTCTAGTTTCCTGTTTGATTAAATATCACCTACACAACTTTCTTCTTTATGCCACTAATTTTGATTTCTGATGGCAGGATTTTTTCCCAATGGACTGCATCTAATCTTTTAGTTCCATTACTGACTTGTCACTTCAGGATGTTCCGTGATAAATCACTGGCACATTTTTTGCTTACAATTTGCCAGGCTTCTAACTAGATGACTTCATAACAGGGTGTATTTTGTGTTGTCCGTGTCCGTTCCACTTATGCATACCTTTGAGCTTTCCTGCATCAGAGGCCAGGTGGATTGCCTCAGCCAGGATTTGTGAATTGTTGCACAGCACGACTGCCTGGTGTTCCTTCTATTTCCCATCATGCCTAAGAACTGGATCTGTCACCTGCTTTGCTATCCACACCAGCACTTGCTCTGGGCTGCATGCAATACAATGACATCACTGCACCAGGCTTAGATGCAATCACTGCCCTAGGCTGGATGCAATGGCATCACTGCTTGAGGCTGGATGCAATGGCATCATTTCTCCAGGCTAGATGCAATGACATCACTGCCCTAGGCTGCATGCAATGACATCACTGCTCCAGGCTGGATACAATAGCATCACTGCCCTAGGCTGGATGCAATGGCATCACTGCTCCAGGCTGGAAGAAATGGCATCATTTTTCCAGGCTACATGCAATGACATCACTGTCGTGGGCTGCATGCAATGGCATCACTGCTCCAGGCTGCATGCAATGGCATCATTCCTATTCTCTTTCCTGTGATTTTTATTTTTCACAGACTCCACTGGAGAGCTTTTAAAACCTCAGGAACTACAGCCTCCAGTTAGATGGCCATACCGGTTACCCAAACAAAAATTAAGGAAGTTCTTTCTTCATGCAACCTGTAAGGCCCTTCATACTTCATTCATTCGTTGGCCCATTTATTCATGTGCCTTAGGATGCCGGGGAGAACAGGAGTTGTCAGAGTGGGCAATGATCAGTGTACATTCTCACAATTATATGAGGAATTGTTTTGTTTACTTGCCTGCATGATTTTGTTGGGGGCGTGGGGGGCTATCATAGAATAAGTACTGTCATGGTAAAATGCATTTTAGTGAATTCTTGTTAAGAAACTAAATTATGATGTGGCAAAGGCTCAAAAGTACTGTTTTCAACTATTCCTAAACGTGACGGATCCCATCTCAAAGGCATAGGATACTCTGATTGCTAAATTGTATAATTTTTAAAATTGTACATTTTAGTAAATACCCCTAAGTGTGCAGATTCTGATGTTTGGGAGCAAAGAAACCAATTTTCTACTTAAAACTATATAAACAGTTCTGGTAATGAGGTAAGAGACATAAAATATGTTCTTTTTAAAAAGATTTTTCACACAAATTGAACTCAAAAGTGTAAATAAATATAAATATTTTCATTTTTTAAAGAAAACCCTCCTAACTGTGAATTGATATTTTGTTAAGTCCTCTTCCCTAATTCTTTGTAATACACCTTGTATTTTATTTTGTTCACATGAGAAATAAATTTGAAAAAACATATATTTATTCTGATGGACCCAATAGCAAAATGTTGAGTTGAAGGTGGTTTTTCAGGTCAGTCTGTTTTCCTTGGATGTTAGTGGCAGGGAATGGTTTATAGCAAATCAAGGGTAAATCACTGATCTGATGATAAAAGAAAAGAGCTCTGAGCAGCGTCAGAAACCTTGCTAAACCAGCCATAGCTGACTGAGGCAGGGAAGGGTACAGATATGTTGACATGGAAAATGTTGAGATAAAATGAAGTTATTGGCCGGGCGCGGTGGCTCACGCCTGTAATCGCAGCACTTTGGGAGGCCGAGGTGGGAGGATCATGAGGTCAGGAGATCGAGATCATCCTGGCTAACACTGTGAAACCCCGTCTCTACTAAAAATACAAAAAATCAGCCGGGCGTGGTGGCAGCTGCCTGTAGTCCCAGCTACTCGGGAGGCTGAGGAAGGAGAATCGCTTGAACCCTGGAGGCAGAGGTTGCAGTGAGCTGAGATCACACTGCAGCACTCCAGCCTGCATGATAGAGCAAGACTCCATCTCAAAAATAAAAAAAAAAAGAAATTATTTTTGGCTGGGCACGGTGACTCACGTCTATAATCACAGCACTTTGGGAGGCCGAGGCAGGTGGATCACCTGAGGTCAGGAGATCGAGACCAGCCTGACCAATATGATGAAACCCAGTCTCTACTAAAAATACAAAAATTAGCCGTGTATGGTGGCATGCTCCTGTAATTCCAGCTACTCGGGGGGCTGAGACAGGAGAATCATTTGAACCCGGGAGGCGGAGGTTGCAGCGAGCTGACATCGTGCCATTGCCCTCCAGCCTGGGCAACAAGAGCAAAACTCTGTCTCAAGAAAAAAGAAAAAAAAAAGTTATTTTCATGTACTTACATTTAATCATCTTGAAGAAACAAATTATAAGGTGTTAAAACCCGTCTTAAAATAATTATTAAATGTCATCAAATTCTTTATTTTACAAACCACAATTTATTTTTATATGGCCATGAACTGGGACAGTTTTTTTCCCCTCTCTTTCTTCCTCCAGTTAAAGTAGAAATGCACCTCAGGAATATCTTCACTGGAGAGGGAGGAGACATGTATCTTCCCAGACAGAGGAGACACATATCAGCATTTATGTATTAAACAGACAAGCAAGATGTTACAAAGCAATGCCTACAATAAAAACAGTCCTGATACAAATTAATTCCCACTCAAATTCAGGCAATCGCAATACCTTTAAATTCAATGGCGAACCCTGAAAGGCCCACGGAGGCATCACTCCGAAATGCCAGAAACAGGCTGTTTCCGCTACTCTCTATTCTTTCTGGGGCCTGAGAGCCCTGGTAACTCCCAATGAGGGGGCTGTTGGAATCTTCCCCTTCATAGATGTGTAGGAAGTCATAGCTGGGCTCCATGTTGAAACTAAAGAAAAGAATAGTAATTATGTCATACGGCTAACAGATATTTTATCTCCCAGAGTGGTAAGCCTTTGAGCTCAGAAAGTGATTTTATTTGCTTTTGTATAATGATTTTTCAGTTAGGGCAATCAAAAAGTTAAATGTAGTATGAATCAAAATATTAATAAAATAGCAATAGTATAAAATACATCAATTGTGACAAATACTATTTGCCTAATTACCATCATGTTCAATACAATATTATTCTGACCACAGCCAAAAGGAAATAAGTCATAATAGCAGAGGTATGCTATCCTTTCCGTGTACTCATTAATTTGCTAAATGAGATGTAATTTAAAAGAACCAAGCTCAAAAGAGACACATTTCCACTGACCTTTTATCTTTATCTGAATATTTTTAGTTTTGAAAATACTGGAATTTTGAAAATATTGCAATTTCAAAATATTGGAATAGTCAGTAGAATTACTGACTATTCTTACTTTTATTTTTACTTAAAAAATGCAGTTCTCCCAGCCTAGGTAACATAATGAGATCCTGTCTGTACAAAAATACAAAAGTTAGTAGAGTGTGGTGGTGCACACTTGTAGTCCTAGCTACTCAGGAAGCTAAGGCTGGATGATCACTTGAGGCCAGGAGTCTGAGGCTGCAATGAGCTATGACCACACCACTGCACCCATGCACTCCACCCTGAGAGACAGAACAAGACCCTGTCAAAAAAAAAAAAAGACTCCACTTGCGTGGATAAATCAGCGAATATTAATAGCCCCTACAATGCCCAGAGTGTAACCTTTCTCACATCATGTTTCACCATCACTGAATATCCCAGTTTTTTTTCTCTGTCCCTCTCTTTCTTTCTCTCACTTTCTCCATTTTTCTGTTTCTCTCTGCTCTAATATTAACATACAGTCAGTCCCCAAAGAGTGTAACAATTTAAATTCAAAGGTGTCAAGGGCTGGGCTGTGTTTGCCATTGGTGATGTGTAGGCTGATAGAGTCTCTGAGCTTTAAAACTACGCACACTCTAAGAGAAAGGCTGAGCTTGGTTAAGATGTCTAAGATCTTGATATGACCAGAATAAACTGATAAAGTAGAAGTATTAAAACCATCCATTGCAGCAGAGCACAGTGGCTCTAGCCTGTAATCCCAGCACTTTGGGAGGCTGAGGCAGGCAGATCACGAGGTCAGGAGTTCGAGAACAGCCTGGCCAATATGGTGAAACCCTCTCTCTACTAAAAATACAAAAATTAGCAGAGCATGGTGTCGTGCACCTGTAGTCCCAGCTGCTCGGGAGGCTGAGGCAGAAGAATCGCTTGAACCCGGGAAGCGGAGGTTGCAGTGAGTCAAGATCACGCCACTGCACTCCAGCCTGGGTGACAGACAGAGCAAAACTCATCTCAAAAACCAATCAACCAACCAACCAAGCAACCAACCAATCCATCCATTGCAGCTGCCCCTTCCCTCTTCTTCTCTATAGCAGGTTTTTCATATGTGTCTTTAAAAAGCACTCAATTTACAAAGCTCCTACTCCCTTTCCTTTCCAACTGCAGAAATTTGGGACAACTGAGACAGAGAAGGTCAGGGTTTTTGCTTGTTGGTTTGTTTGTTTGTTTTGTAATCACTAAAATGTTCTAGGTGGCTCCACTTGATCTGGAGATTCGGATGATAAAATAGCAACAGAAGTTCCCTCCTGGAAAGGTCCACTGCACCATGAAGGGGAACAGAGAACGTGGTACCGCCAGCATCGGTGCAACGCCCAGCCTGCATTATGCCAACCTGTTTTGGGTCAAGGATACCCTCACTCCACATCCTGAATATACTTATTAAAGGAAATTTAGGAAGGTGTCTTAGTCTGTTTATTTGACAAGTTCACTGACGTCAGGAATGAAGAAGGAATAAAAGGTTGGAGTTACTAGGTATAGGCGCTAGCAGGAATGGTGTGGGTTACGTAGAATTTTATTGGAATAATAATTGTATTTAGAGTATTGGCAAGGATGTTATTAAAATCTGGTCATGTCATATCCCCAATATTTGGCTTAGTTAATTATCATTATTGGTAATTTATGCAATACTGCAAATACTGCCAGACACAGGAAAACAAACAAACAAACAAACAAACAAACAAACACTATATATCCCATCTGCTCTCTTTTTTTTTTGCCTGTACCAAAATTCATGCGTAGAAGTCTGGAGTGAAATTTATAACTAATTTTGGCTCCTTTGGAGAACTCCTTATTTCTACCTCTGCCAGCTGCACGTATCTCTAAGCTCTTACAGCATGCCAAAGCCTGACTCAAATTGAACCAAATTCAATTTGAGCCCCAATGTGTGAGCCCCACAATCCACAGGGACGTGTAATGGAACATCCTCTCTCATCCACAGCCCTGAACGAGCCTGGGAGCCCATATGTCCTTCAGGTCATATGATTCTTTGCCTTTACCATTAGTAATGCCAGACTCCCACCCTCCCATAAAAAAAACACACCTGAATTTGCCATCATCCTGACACTGCATCTTGGCCAGCCCTCATCAGCGCCAGCCTCCTGCTTGGGAAGCTGGACATCCTCATCCCCTAACAGGATTCTGGTCTCTCCCTCCTCACTACTTCCCAGGTAGATGTCTGCTTGAGCACATGCAAACTCCAGATCAGAGAAGTCACTGGTTTTCACTGATTTCTGAAGTTTCTGAGACATTGGGTCGGCTAATAAGTCATAATCTATGGGTTGGGAGAGGCTTAGAGATTATCTGTTTCAAACTTCCAGAGGGGTGTATAAAACGCAGTGAAAAAACCCTTGCACAAAACTGCCTTAAATATGCATATCATCAAATGAGTTGCACTTTATGGGAGGGAGGAAACTCCTACTAACAAGGTTTTGTGTTCAATTTCATTTTTTTTTTTAAAGCCAAGGTCTTGCTCTGTTGCTCAGCTCAGACTAGACACTCATAGCTCATTGCAGCCTCCACCTCCTGGGCTCCAACAGTCCTCCTGCCTCAGCCTCTCGAGTAGCTAGAACCAGAGGAATACACAAGCACACCAAGCCAATTTTTAAAATTTTTTGTAGTGATGGAGTCTTGCTGTGTTGCCCAGGCTGGTTTCAAACTTCTGAACTCAAGTGCTCCCCATCTTGGCCTCCTGAAATGCTGGGATTACAGTCATGAACCACCATGCCTGGCTTCAACTGTTAACCCATTTATAATATCTTGAAACCAGAGGTGCCTCCTAATTTTAAGGAAGACGCTACTAGAATTTAACATTAACAAAACCCACATAGATATCTAAAAAATATAGCCAGTGAGTGTTCACTGGTTTTCTGTAATAGCTGAGTAACATTTGGTAAATTTGTGGCAGTTTAGTAAATTCAGGAAAAGATGACTATCAACCAACTTAAGATTCAGAATCATAGAAACGTAAAATTCTACTGACTCAGATCTCATCAGGAGGAGAAAGTGAGGGTATGTAAACACATTCAGGCCTTGAATACTGACATAAAGATCTGCAGAAAAGGAAAGTCGTTCCATTGACAGATTAAAAAATGTAATCCCAGATACTTGTCCTTGGATAGCTGAAAGGTCAATAGGAAAGTCTACAGAATGACTCACCTTCATAAACAACACATTCATTTAGTTCAAAAGTCAAAGTCTAAAGTTAGAAAACATCTTTGGATTCAATAAATTGTAATTATCATATACCATATACTAATAATATAATTATTTAAAGAGTTTATTTTCATAAAATGACTACAGTATTAGACCTTCCATCGTCTAGTTTAGCAAGTACAAGTTAGCATATTTTTAGGACTGATATGTAGTAACTCAGACTTTACAGCAACCACATTTGGGGAAACTTTCATTTTCCAGGCTCTATTAAGTCTTAATTTTATAATGATATTAGCAGTGCTACCCTCAGGAACGTCAGGATGTGCTGTGGAAAGGAATTCACTATCAGGCATTTAGAGTGATAGGAGACATTGATGAGAAATTACACCAAATGTCTCCATACCATATTTTTATTATTTTTAACGAACATTCTGTTTAAGCCTTCTCATATGGGACACATTGTGTGCAAGACAAACAGTATTTAAAAATAATTCAAGTGCATCTTAAGTAGAATGCCCCAAAGCAAAATACTGTATTTCCATTTATGTCATTTTGCAGCCTGGTGTAGTCTCCATTAGACACAAAATCTAGCACTTACCTAGATATAACATTAGAGACTATGAGGTCATAAAAGAAGTAATTTTTAGGTATGGAATTAAAAATCCTACTAAAAAGAGGTATTCTGCAAGAGACGGTACCTTTTGAATATCAAGGCGATGACAAAGTCCGGGTTCACTTTTACTCTCCAGTCACATTCCTTCCCAGGAGGATACGGCTGTGGGTAGTTGGGTGACAAAATAACACCTGCTGGGCCCGTCAGATTCCCTCCACAAGCAGCTGTCACAGAACAAAAGTTACAGAGAAAAAGTAAGGACAGCGAAGAACGCCTGCCAGTCAGTGTGGAAGGAGACACCACAGAATTCTTTAAGAAAAAGACATCAGCATTTTTACCAGTCCAAGAGATTGTGTGTTGGTTATCAATTATCCTGATAAAATTGTAAGACCCAGGAACTCTGTACATTTTTCATGTAACTGTTAATGAATTTTACATAATATTCCACCCCATTTTCAAAGAGAATTTTCAAACTTCTGACACAAAAAATTTCTTTCCTATAATTTAAAATTTTCTCAATTAAATGAAAGATGACTTAATCCCCATACCTGCCAACGTGCACACATGTGCACAAACAGAAAAACACTTGAATAAAAAAAATCCCATGGACATGATTTTATGGCCATGTTAATTATTTTGCTATTTCTCACAGTTTATAAAATCATTGCCTATTTCTTCTTGAGTGCATGCTTCATGTGGTACAGGGATCATCTAGCTCCTGTTCATTGTTTTATCCCAAACGTCTAGGCGGTTTCTGGATCTGAACAAGTGTTCAGGAAATGGTTATTGGGTACATGAAAACATGGCATTTCACATTCTCCCAGTCCCCTGGTGTATGGAAGGCTTGAATTACTTTCCCCATATTTCAAAGTGGCAAAACAAACCCCAAAAGTTTAAGTGAGCTCTAAGTATACATATCAGTGAGGAGCTGAGCTGGAGCATTACTCTCTGAAAATATCATTTGATCACAATGCTTGGTATATTATTAGAAAGAACCACTTTATATGATAATAACAAATTTAGTTTGTGTTTGAAGTCATCAATTTTGAATTAAATGTGTTTACATTTATATTAGCAAGGCAGTAATTATGTAGCTCAATGTGGTTAATAGGCAAGCCAGTTTTTGTTCTTGAATTGGAAAGTATTTAGGATTGTTTTATTTGTGAGATAAGGTTTCTCCTAAACCTCTCATCTCACGGAAGGTGTGAAAACACTGCCGAATTTATAAGTATACACATTTTAGATACATACAAGACTATGCTGAGTTTAAAAGTTGTTTATATCAAATACTGTGGTTTGTCACCAAGTTGTTTTAAAGCGTGACTACAATTAAATCATAGTATTCCACTTAAATTATATGTCTTATTTCATTCCCATTATTGGTCACACATGCACTAAAAAATATGTAGAAAAGAAAATGTCTTAATTGCTGATTTTTCCCCTATACAAAAAGAGACTTTGTTTTGTAAATAAGATGAAGGAAGATGAAGGAACATGCTTCACAATTTTCAATAAGGAGTGCCTCTTTAAATACTTATTTAACATTTCTGAAAACTTAGCTTTTTATAGGAAGAAATAACAACTAACTCCAGTAGTTCTTGTTATACTCTCACAGTCTAACTGAATGCAAACTCTGAATGCTATTGTAGAAAACATTTATAATAATAAATTCCACAGATATACGTTCAAGAGTAATATGATATAATTTTTACAGAAAAAGATTAAAACTTGATTTTCCCCAGTATGACTTTTTTTTTTTTTAATGAATTTGAATTGTGCAGAAGCAATTGTCCCAACAGCTCTCACAGGGCAGTGCCTCCTCAGAATCACGCCGGGGCTGCTGACAGCATCGAGCAGTACAAGCGTGGACCGATCAGGGAGCGGGAGCTGATGCAGAGAAAGAAGGTACCTGAAGGTCTAGAAGATTCTACTGCACACAGGTTTTGTAAGATGAAAAATGACAGATTCAGGGCACTGGCTACAGGGTGCTACCAGCAGGAAGAGTTCAGGGATATGATTCAAATATTGATTTAAAAGAAACAAAGGGGAAACCCTGTCTTATTCACACTGATCCCAGGAGGCACTTTCAAATGAGGTGATTTAAAAGCTGAAAAAGTGGAATTAAGGAGTGCTGCCTGGCCCTGTTTGTTCTCTCTTTTGGTCTGGTATTCTTCAAGTTAGTTTGCTTAGGTTTTAATTAGCTTGCAAAATATTTTAGATAGGATTAGAATAGTAAAAAATGCAACTCAGAGATGCTAGCAAATTCTCCAGAAGGAATAGACAAAGAGATAAAATCCACCTATTCTTTTCGACCCACCAACCCTTTTACAAAACCTTTATCCACTATGCTCAACAGCACACATACATACGTAGCAGCTCCTTCACCACCAGGGTTTGAAGCTGGTCTTTAACGAGACCCATCTACGTTTCTGCATTAAAACATTTGAATGTTCACACCGTTGGGGGCGATAAATATTTTCTAAATAGACACCTTTATGTCAGGATGCTCTGTTGTCCCTAAATGAATTTCTGCAAACCTAGGATACATTTTGGCTTTTCAGAGTGTTTTGCAATTTGGACTTGGGGAAAAGCAATTGCAGGCTATATAAGATAATGAAGACTTTTTAGGGACACTTTACTCGGAATAAGGAAGTTGAAGCCGAACGTGGTGGCTCACGCTTGTAATCCCAGCACTTTGGGAGGCCAAGGTGGGCGGATCATCTGAGGGCAGGAGTTCGAGACCAGTCTGGCTAACATAGCAAAACCTAGTCTCTACTAAAAATACAAAAAATAGCCGGGCGTGGTGGCACGCACCTATAATCCTAGCTACTCAGGAGGCTGAGGCAGGAGAATCGCTTGAACCTGGGAGCGGAGGCTGCAGTGAGCTGAGATCACACCACTGCACTCCAGCTTATGTGACAGAGCAAGACTCTGTCTCAAAAAAAAAAAAAAAAAAAAGTCGTTAATGTCCTTTGGTCTACAGAATTCTCCTTCTAGACTAAGTCAAAAAGCTAAACAGAGGAGGCTTCATGGTAGAAGTCATTTCGGATGTAACAATAACAACAACAAAAAAGTGAGGTATCCAAGCAACACTCAAGAAAAAGCAACAGCAATGGCAGGTGTTGAAAATAAGTGTTGTCACACACAACAGGTGAGAGGTTAAGAGATTTTATAAAAGGGAAAGAAAGAGAGAGAGCCAGTAATGAGTAAATATACTCTAATAATAAAAAGTAAAAAAGTAAATTAGCTGATCAATCAGGAAAGAACAAATTCAAACAGCCAATAAGCATATGAAAAAAAAAAGTTCGACCTTATTATTAATTTAAAATGCCAATTAAAACAAGACATCATCACTTTGTGCCTTAAAATCTATAAAGTGTGGTGTTTTCTGTGAGTCAGAGAAAACATTAATAAATATATATGGCTGATGGCAGGTTAAATCGGTGTGACTGCTCTGAAAGAGATTTTAAAAATGGGCTGGACACGATGGCTCACACCTGCAATCCCAGCACTTTGGGAGTCTGAGGCAGGCAGATCATGAAGTCAGGAATTCGAGACCAGCCTGGCCAACATAGTGAAAACCCATCTCTACTAAAAATACAAAAAAATTAGCCGGGCTTGGTGGTGGGCGCCTGTAATCCCAGCTACTTGGGAGGCTGAGGCAGGAGAATCACTGGAACACGGAAGGAGGTTGCAGTGAGTCGAAATCATGCCCCTGCACTCCAGCCTCGGCAACTGAGTGAGACTCTACCTCAAAAACAAAACAAAACAAACACGTTTTAAAAGTCCGAGAAATATGCGAGTTTGTAGAAATATGTCACTTATTAATAATCCTGATTTATTTTGCAACATGAGTGCTCATTGAAGCTATCTTCAGAATAGGGAAAAGGTTAAAACAACTTAATTATACAATAATAAGGGACTAGAAAGATCAATATTGGTAGATTCAAACAAATAGATACTAGAGAGTGGCATCAGTGGTGTAGTTGTGCCTTCTAAAAAGATTTAGTCACTAAAAACGAGTAGAAAATACATAGTAACACAAAATATACACACCATGTACTGGTAAGTAAAAAGTGCAATTTACGAAACAGTCAAGCAGGATGTTGTCATTTTAAAACTTTTTTCTTTTTTTTTTTTTTGAGACAGAGTCTCACTCTGTTGCACAGGCTGGAGTGCAGTGGTGCGATCTTGGCTCACTGCAACTTCTAGCTCCTGGGTTCAAGTGATTCTCGTGCCTCAGCCTCCCAAGTAGCTGGGATCACAGGCATGCACCACCACCCCTGGCCAATGTTTGTATTTTTAGTAGAGATAGGGTTTCACCATGTTGCCCAGGCTGGTCTCAAACTCCTGATGTCAAGTGATCTGCCCGCCTTGGCCTCCTAAAGTGCTGGGATTACAGGTGTGAGCCACCACACCCAGACTAAAACATTTTAAAATGGATTACATATACATAATTATGAAATCATTTATAAATGTCTATATTAATTGTAATTGTCTCCAGGTAAAAAGATGACAACTTTTTTCTCCTCTTTGATTTAATTATAGTTTATAAAATGTCTTCAGTAAAATGTATTACCCTTTAATATGAAAAAAGGTAAAAAAATTAAAAAGTGTTTTGAATCTTTGAAACAGAATTTACATGAGTGCTAATTATAATTAACTCATGCCCTAATGGGCAAGCTTCTTACAGAGGACATAAACCTCATTCCTAAAAAACAGAAAATTACAAAGTAATAAAAATATAATGTTAACTTATTTCCAATTATATATTTTCCATTTTTCTGTTACATAACACCTACGCATGTAGGCGGGTCTGGTTGCCAAAATAATTGATTATTCATCTGCCTGCAAGTGATTTCAGCTTGTCCTTGAAGCTGACATTCAAGGTAGAGACAGGGGTATTTATTTACCTTTTGGTGCGTATTGGACTACCTAGTGGCTGGTCAAAATAAAGTAACTAAGAGATGATCTAACAGAAGATCGATTTGTTTATAGATTCATTAGGAGATGGCCAACTTTTATAATTACATGTTCAAATTAATATAAATTAATAAATTACTTTTAAGGGATTAACTCGTAGTTATATTGCTTTTTAATGTATTCCTCCACGAGCCTAAAAACATGCAAAATGGAAGGAAAAAAAAAAACCCTTTCCTACTGTAAAAGTAGGCCATTGGTTTAAAATGATCGCCACATTGATAGGCAATCACTCCACTTTAAAAAAGAAACACGCCGAAATCTCTGCAGTCTCCCGGTGACTCAGCTTGAGTAAAACGCGTGACTGTGCTCACAGACGCTATGAAAAGTAAACGCAGCACCAGACATTAAACACACATACATTGCTCCCCGACAAGGCTGAGAAGGCTGATAAGGACAGCTATCCAACCTCATCTGTCTTCAGACAACTGGGATAAGTGGTTTGTCATAAGTAGGAGCGCCGTATCACAGCTCCCCAAGACCACTGAGAATTTCACCACCGCTGTGTACACGACAATAAAAACCAGTTCAAACCACAAACCCCCTCAAGGTCATCCTATGCAAAATGGCCTATCCATTTCATGATCACTTTCTCTCTTCACACATCAATTAAATTTTACATTTTTCAGACAGATTATAAAGAAGTACTAATTAAACTGTGACAGTTACTTAAAATAATAAAGTTCAGTAGTTTCTTTTTAAGACTTAGATGATATACTCTAAGTACGAATTTTATTAGTAGAATATTTTATTGAATGAAGAGACAATCTACCTGCAATTACTATTTTACATAAAATATATATTAGCCTACAAACATATTTGTGATAAATTGTCTCAGGTGGCTATTCAAGCCAAAGTCTGCAAAATCATTTGTTATCCTTTTAATAAGGTCAAACTATAAAATGTCAATAAATTTCAGAAACAAACCTCCTTTTATCTTCATTTTAACACAAACAGTATAATTTCTAGTTTTCAGAATTCTATTTTAAATGTACTAATATCATAGGGGGAAAAACATCTAAAAAGAGAAAGTACTTTTAGTGAGTAGGTTTTGCTTAAGGGCATGTTTCTATATTAAAAATCAGAATAGCAATGGTAGGTTTATAAATTTTGAGGCAACTAGAATTTTAAATTACAGACATTTGATTGATCCATGTTTATGTAACATTTGTTAAGGGTAGGAAATATACGGTAAATGTCAATTACTGTACCTTAAGGGGATGACTTCCTTTATTCTACCTCATAAAATAAAGTTTAAAGGTTTACAATAAAATTTCAGGAGTCTCAGAGAGCCAGAGAACATGAAAGAAACTCTTGAGAAATATTTCTGAAGAAATAATACATTTACGGAGCGCTTTTAACGACAACATGCATCCATTCCTGAATATAAAATTTCTAAGTTCTGTTGTCTGATACCTATGCATGTAGGAGGGTCTGGTTGCCAAAAGAACCGGTTATTCAGCTGCACACAGGTGATTTTGGCTTGTCCTTGGAGCTGATAGCCAGGGTCACACTGGAATGTGACGGTGTCTCCAGCCTCTCTGCTGTCTCCATAGCGGGTGCCATTTTGGGGCATACCTGGATCGTTACAGGTGGCTGCAATTGAGGCTGCAAACAAAAGAGAAGGCAAGGTCACAGGCTGGAAAACATGGTTTCCACATTCTTGTCGGTGTGGTTGTTCTTGTGGGTTGAAGCACTCTTCATTGGCCTAATAAGTCATTTGTCTACACATGAACATACGAAAATAGTTTCTTTTCCCAGGGGTACATTCAATAACATACATCTTCATTGTGCTTGCATTGCATAAACTCTAGCAAGATTCTGTTGAAAATGCAACCAATGATGAAATATATCAAGGGTTTTTTTAAAACAAAAATTACATTATCCTTAGAATAAATACATACATACACACAGACTGATTTTCTCTTCAGCAATATTTTAATGAAACCCCATACTGCAAATTACATAAACTAGTTAAAGTACACCAACCTCAAGGAAAACAAAATAGGAAGAATTTCCTTAAGGTCTGTGCCTTCAAAGGTGATCCAATAACCTTTGTTGAGATGCCAAGGGTGGAAGGTCTAGAGGAGATGACCAGTGAGTTATACCCAGGATCCCATAGGTGACATTGCCACGGCAAAATTATTAATAACCCCCTTTCACTCACCCAAAAAATTCCAAGTTGGACAATATATTATATGGCCACCCTAATATTAACAAAAGCTCTGAAAATAATATCCTGCCTTTCTGCATATATATAAAGAATCTCAAATCTGCTGAGTAGAGGCCAGACTCTGCAAAGCCGGCTGGTGCCTGTGCTTTCAGGGGCCACTGGAGCCTTATCATATCAGTTTCTGGTAATCATGTGTAAAGTGCATTGCAAACGGCGAGCCTAAAATCACCTCCCATATGCAGCCATCGACTCTGCCTGCGCCTAATCACAGAAGGCTACCGCAAGCCCAGAGTTTTCACCAGAGTATCCCCCATCACTCTAAAATACAGCAGCCTCAAGAAATAGCAGTTGTTTTCTCCAGTTTCTATAACTGCTGTGTATTATGTGTCGCACTGAAAATTAGAAAGATAGGTACTCCTGAAAAATCCAAAGCTTAGATTTTTTCTCATTTTTACTTTCAGTTAGAATAACGAGCTCTTTCTTCCACTCCACTGCATAAGAGATGACAATTAAAAGCTGACTTTTTCTCTGCAAAGTACTTCACTGTTTTCAACACCAAGTTTTATGAAAGAGCAAAAAAAAAGAGATTAGTGTATTGTTCTATATACATACCATCACACTGTCCATTTTAATATTTGAAGCCTTAAAGTAATGAGTAGGCTTTGCGTTTTGTTTTGTAAATTCTGAAGCATTTGTGTGTGTGCGTGTGTGTGCATATACATATGTCTACATATGGATAGATAAATGGAATAATAAAATCCATTTAAATAAAAAGTTAGAAGATATATAAAAAAGAATAAGACCTGCTCTGTGTTATTCAGACATTTTTAACCTAATAGGGGTGGCAATGAACAAATAATTCAGGACAAGAGAAAATGTTAAACTGTGCAGATTAAAAGACCAAAGCTCTATCCAATAGTGTCATATGATACAGACATCAAGGATCCTATAGTTGGTCAGACCTGCTTCAAATCCCATCAGGACTTAATTAGTACCTAATTAGTACTTAATGATCACTTAAGCACACTTATCATCAGCTAACAAATCAGTAAAAATTAGACTAATATCTAAGTCATTAAGTCTGCTATGAAGATGAAGTGTGAAAATTTGCTAACTTGTCTTTCTCCTTGCTATTCTCTAAGCTAATTGAGGCAAGAAGCTGTCTTCACCACTCTCTTTCTCTCAAATTGATTGTTATTACATTGAAATATATACATGTGTGTATCTATAACACAATGAGAACAATGAAATGAACATCTGTGCTACCAACTCTAAGCAATAGAGTATTTACCAATACATCAGTATGATCAATGCGTAGAACATACCCTTCCCCATATCACCTTCTTCCTCCACTTCAGGGGAAGTCACTTTCTGAATTTTATGTTTATCATTCCCTTGCTTTTCTTCACAGTGACTATAAATGTATGCATTCCACTTTTAGCCACATATATCAGTTTCCTGAAATCAAATGCTTAACTGGAATTATATGTTGCAAGTTCTGTGACTCTCTCTGTCTTAAATGCTTAACTGGAATACATATTGCAAGTTCTGTGACTCTCTGTCTCTCTCCCCCTTGCTTGTATTATGTTTTTGGGAGTCATCTACATTTAGGCATGATGCTCTGGTCTACTCATTTTTATTGCTGTATAGTTTTCCATTGCAGGAATGCACCATGATTTTTCCATCCTCTTCTTGATGGATCTTTGGGTCATTTTTCTTTTTACCCTTATATAAAATGCTGCTGCGAAAACTCTTGTACATGCTGCTGGTACACATTTGCTCTTTCAAATGACATGGGCTGCTATGTTTTGGATTTTCACTTCCAAACAGCATGCAGTTAGATTGTCCTTTAAATTCAATCCCAGAATTGTCTTTTAATTGGATAGTTTAGTCTCCTTATGTGCCCTGAAGTTCCTGCTCTATTTGGATTTCTCTCGACCATCTTAGCTTGTGTTTTCTATGTGCACCCCCATATGCTCTACCTTTTTGCTTGCTTTCATACTAATTAATTTTTTCTCGTGCTTTTATTTTAGTAGACTTTCTAGAAATTTCAGTATGTATTTAGTTGTAATAGTCTTACCTTCTTCTTTAATATTTATTATTCTCTTCCTAATTACATGCATTGCTAGGTATTTCAGTTATTTAAAAAAAAAATCTTAAATTAGACATTGTCATTGTCCATTTGTTTTTATAAACCTCATACATTAAATATTATTGTTTGACATAGTTGACTGATGATTGTTTAAATTTTCATACATACTTATCAATTTGTTTGCTTATTATGTTTTCTTTTCATTTTTTTTTTCTGAGTTTTTATTTGGCCTAATTTTTCTACTTCATAAATACTATGGCTTGACTATTTGTCTCCTCAAAAACTTACGTTGAAATGTAATCAATATGGTCATATTGGGAGGTGAGGCCTTTAAGAGGTGATTGTATTAATCATTTGTAAATTAGTGGATTAACGGATTTATGGGCTATCACAGGAGGGGAATTGGTGACTTTATAGGAAGAGTGACCTGAGCTGGCATGCTCAGCCCCTCGCCAGGCGATGCCTGCACACGTTAGGACTCCAGAATCCCCACCAGCAAGAGGGCCAGATGTGGTCCCTCGACCTTGGACTTCTCAGCCAGCATATTTGTGAGAAGTATATTTATTTTCTTTATAAATTACCCAGTTTCAGATATTCTGTTATAAGCAGTAGAAAACAGACTAATACACTAAAATGGTTTGTTCGTTTTGTTTTGTTTGGTTGGTTTTTGCAAGTTATGTTTAGTAAGGACATGTGATGGCTTGGATTAGTTTCACATTTACTTGGCCGTTCATATAGTATTTGGTTTCCTATTCATATTTTTATTCTCTTTTTTTTCATGATTACAGTCTGAATCCGATAAGAATTCCAATTTCTCATGTAAACTAAGTTGTTTGTAAGTTTTCACATTTGTACTTCTGTTCTGGGGAACTTGACTTATGGTAATTCTTTGCATTCTGCTTTGAAGGTACACCCATCCAGAGGAGAGTCACATTAGATTACAGGATCTGCCTGGAACAACAGAAAACCTCCTTTTTTCAAAAATAAATTAACAGCTTGAGGCATTTTGGATCCCAGGGATGGTAGAAATTCACCTACAGACTAGTGTGAATCCCGCCGGCGGTTGTGAGTTGCATGCATCTATGTCTCTGTCAACATCGATGTCTGTGTATTCTCCCCACTCTGTGAGTAGAACACCCTTTGGTGTTCCAGCTATACATGAGGGTCTCCTATGATATTTTCAACCTCAGAAAGACCTTAGATTTGCTTTCTATTCCCTGAGCCAAGGGACTCTGAGAGTGGAAGCTCCACATCACAGAGGATCAGCAGAGGCAATCAGGGCAGGGCTGGCTTCCTAGCTTCACAATCTCTCTCCATTTCTGCATTTCATATCAACCGGGATTCCTTATTTTGTTGCAGGTTCAATGACACAATTTGAAAATCCAAAACCAATTTTATCCAGCACTTTTACTGTATTTTCAGCATATAAATTTTCAGAGTCCTCACTGTAATACTGCAAACGGAAGCCACTCAATCACACTTATTTCTTAAACACTGGCCATGATTTCTGAGACATCATTCTTCTCGTCATTATCAGTATTATTATCATTACTCGTGTTTTGAACAGGGGAATCTCACTTGAAAACAGCACTCTCAGTGGAGATCTAGAAGAGAGTGCTTGGGTTTCGGAGTAGGTTTTTCAATGGAAAGAGAGCGGGAATGACAATAGGAGTTACCGGAAGGCCATTGCTGTACTTTCCCACTTTCCTCCCATCAGCTGCAAAGACTGGAACACAGGGAAATCCAAGCATATTACTCCAAGAGAAGCCTGGGAGAGCAGAGGAAGGCAGGATAGATGTGAAGATGCAACACTTACAGTTAGAAAGTCACGAAGGTCTCACCCATAAGCCACACATTTTTCTAACGTAGAACACTAATCATAGAATACAATCACCAGAATCACAAGGCAATTGGCCATCATCTTGGTACCAAAGGGGTACCCTTCCTGAACCAGCATTTTACACAAATTCTTGAATTTACTCTTTGAGTGATATTCCTATAGAATCTATGATCAACTGTTGTTGAGATTTCTCTGGTTTTCAGAAAATAATCAAAAGCAAATCCTACTGTACATGCACAATCTTGTTCATCTGAATGAACTTCCCATCTTCAAAGGAAAATTCTTCCTTTCCTCAAGCAAGTGGTGACATGTATAATTAAGCACTCATTTGCAAGTGATAATTTCTGTCACAGTTTATATAGGTTAAAAAATTAACAATAAGTGTATAATATTAAAATAATTGTCATACAGTGATAGTCACTGTAAATATCGCAACATTTATACAATGAAATGAATGTTATATAATAGTACAAGAATTTAAAAACAAAAGTTTAGGAGGTGAGCCAAGGACATCAGGGATAACAGTTTCATTATAATTTTTAAAACCAAGATGTTTTCATTTCTCATTCCCATATTTTTATTTAATGTTTATCAAAAGAAAAGATATATAATACTCACTACTAGGAAAGTTTTACACAAAGGTGCACAGATTTTATACATGAATAAGAATTTTAACGGATATATCAGCCTTGCAAAAAATAAGTGCTCTGTTGAACACTTTTCTGGGAGTTAATAGGATCTGGTCAAATGAGATTGGCAAATACTGCACACCCCAGTTTCCCCTTAGACATTCCCATTGCACATTAAGGATTAAAGGCTCAGAGCTGTACCACAGTAAAAAACTTCTAAAAATCATTGTTTAATCCAGCGTATCCCACATTGTCATCATAGAGCACAGTTTTCCTAGAAAATCTCTTAAGATCCTTCCAAATAGAAGTCCACAGAATATCAGTAGAAACAGTGCCTTGCACTAGTGGTTACATGTCCTTTCATGGTATAATATTCTATTCATTTTTGAAAGTACCTTTTGTAGTTCTCAACCCAATTTTTATTTGGAATACGTATAACAATAATAATGCAGCATGCAATTAAAAGTTTTAAACTTGTGAAGTTCATGTTGTCTAATAAACAGAAATACTGCATCTACATAATTAGCTCGAGTTTATGCCAGTTATATGAAGATGTAAGTTTTTTTTTTTTTTTTTTTGAGACAGAGTCTTGATCTGTCGCCCAGGCTGGAGTGCAGTGGCACAATCTCGGCTCACTGCAAGCTCCGCCTTCCGGGTTCACGCCATTCTCCTTCCTCAGTCTCCGGAGTAGCTGGGACTACAGGCGCCTACCACCACACCAGGCTAATTTTTTTGTATTTTTAGTAGAGACAGGGTTTCACCATGTTAGCCAGGAGAGTCTCGATCTCTTAACCTTGTGATCTGCCTGCCTCGGACTCCGAAAGTGCTGGGAATACAGGTGTGAGCCACCGCGCCTCGCCGAAAATGTGAGTTTCAATAAAATAATTATATATACATTTAGAGCTAATGTATATATCTGCTTGTATATTTTCAAAGGTTATTTAAAATTGCCATAAACTACTAAGGCTTACTTAAGTTTAAACAAACCCCCAAACACTTTGTATTTAGAATTATGAAATAAAGATGAAAAGTTCCTAGAGTTAGCCAGATTGGACTAAAAAACCAATAAGAAGGCTTGAGGAAGGAGAAAGAGAACAATTTTAAACAATGTAGTGCAGAATACATCGGTTGGGTCTTTGAAACAAATTTCATTTTATTTTCCTCTAGTTATGAATGATGCAAAGATGTTTTCTGTTAAAGGCAAGAAAGCTTATTCTAGACTAATACAAACCCCCACCCAGGGGCACTCCATTAGGGGCAGAAACTGCTTTTCCACTTCAGGCTCTTCACAAAGTGATTGGCAGAGCACGCTGTCATTCCTCTTCCAGGGCTGTATTCTTTTATGTGCCACATCATACACTTCACTCATTTTTCTCTTAAATATGTTTTCTGCAAATTGGATTTTTTGCTGACTCTGAAGGTTTCTAGTTTCTTGCCATAAAAAAGAAAACATTTTCAGTTGCATCCATCTTATCCCTCAACGACCCTAGAAAAAGGCAGCGCTGTTCCTGAGATTATGAGTGCCCTGTTTTCCAGTTTCCCACAGGCGTTCCCTGGAAAATCTCAAGTCACAGAGGCACTTTCCACAGGCCCATTGGCCTCTGAGGGGACATCTCTGCCACCTGTCAGGCTGCATCCAGAGCCATGCCAGTCAGCTTGAGCAACAAAGAACCTGCGCTGCCCTTCACAAAACAGCAGTGGGTCTGACTGTTTCCAACAGCAGGATTGACAACGTGCGGCTACTGCACTGCAGAACTGGACGCTGCAATAACGCCAATCTTTTTGCAACTAGATAAGAGAGATATATATATAGTCTCACAACTTTGCAGGCCGGGTGCGGTAGCTCACACCTGCAATCCTAGCACTTTGGGAGGCCGAGGCGAGTGGATCAAAAGGTCAGCAGTTCGAGACCAGTCTGACCAACATGGTGAAACCCTGTCTGTACTAAAGATACAAAATATTAGCTGGTCATGGTGGTGTGTGTCTGTAATCTCAGCTACTCGGGAGGCTGAGGCAGGAGACTCAGGAGGTGGAGGTTACAGTGAGCTGAGATGGCACCATTGTACTCCAGCATGGGCAACAGGGCGAGACTCCATCTCAAAACAAAAAACCAAAAAACCACAACTTTGCATATAAATAAAAGTATATAATATTTTTATATTAAATATTATATATTTATATATTATATAAATAACACAACTTTGCATATAAATATAATTTTTATACTTATACTATAAATATAATTTTATACTTATACTATAAATATATTTTTTATACTTATACTATAATTTTTTAAATTATACTATAAATATAATTTTTATAATTATACTTATACTACAAATATAATTTTTATAATTATACTTATACTACAAATATAATTTTTATAATTATACTTATACTACAAATATAATTTTTATAATTATACTTATACTACAAGTATAATTTTTATAATTATACTTATACTACAAGTATAATTTTTATAATTATACTTATACTATAAATATAATTTTTATAATTATACTATAAATATAATTTTTATAATTATACTTATATATTTTTGTATATTTATTTTATGATATGCTATATATTATATATTTATTTTATAATATATAATACAGATTTAAATAATAAATTTCACTCGCGTCCGTGTGAAGAGACCACCAAACAGGCTTTGTGTGAGCAATAAAGCTGTTTATTTCACCTGGGTGCAGACGGGCTGAGTCCGAAAAGAGAGTCACCGAAGGGAGATACGGGTGGGGCCGTTTTATAAGATTTGGGTACGTAAAGGAAAATTACAGTCAAAGGGGGGTTGTTCTCTGGTGGGCAGGTGTGGGGGTGTCACAAGGTGCTCAGCAGGGGAGCTTTTGAGCCAGGATGAGCCAGGAGAAGGAATTTCACAAGATAATGTCATCAGTTAAGGCAGGAACAGGCCATTTTCACTTCTTTTGTGGTGGAATGTCATCAGTTAAGGCAGGAACTGGCCATCTGGATGTGTACATGCAGGTCACAGGGGATATGATGGCTTAGTTTGGGTTCAGAGGCCTGAAAGTCCTGTTTTCTTATATTAATAAGAAAAATAAAATGAAATAGTTGTAAAGTGCTGGGACGGCAAAAATTTTTGGGGGTGGTATGGAGACATAATGGGCGATGTTTCTCAGGGCTGCTTGGAGCGAGACTACGGGCAGCATGGGAACTTAGAGTGGGAGAGATGAAGCTGAAGGAAGATTTTGTGGTAAGGGGTGATATTGTGGGGTTGTTAGAAGAAACATTTGTCATTTAGAATTATTGATGATGGCCTGGATACAGTTTTGTATGAATTGAAAAACTAAACGGAATAAGAGGAGAAAAACAGGTATTAAGGGACTAAGAATTGGGACCACCCAGGACATCTAATTAGAGAGTGCCTGACGAGGTTCAGCATAGCCTTGCCAGCAAAGATTATTTATTTACTTTAAGTGTTAAGAGTGGCAGGTTGGGGATGGCACCAAGAGATATCAGCTGTAATGGCTTGGAGAAATAGTGTAAACCAGCAGTGTAATCAAGAGCAGGGCATGTATAAGTAGTTGAGAATGGTGAATAGGAGTATGACTAGACAGAAGATAGTAGGGATGACAAGTTTTTTGGGGCACAGTCAAAGTTGGTGTGGTGTCTGGAATGAGACTGGGGCCTAAGAAAAAGGAACATCTATACAGGAGTTTAAATGGGCTATACCCTGTAGCATTCTGAGGACAGACCTGAATTCTGAGAAGGGAAAGTGGTAAAAGCACTTTCTATTCCTTTTTAAGTGGTGGCTGAGCTTGGTAAGGTTTTAAAAGACCATTAGTCCGTTTTACCTTTCCTAAATACTGAGGAGCGTAAGGGATATAAAGGTTTCACTGAATACCAAGAGCCTGAAAAAATGCTTGGCTGATTTGACTAATAAAGGCCGGTCTGCTATTGGACTGTATAGAGGTGGGAAGGCCAAACCGAGAAATTATGTCTGACAGAAGGAAAGAAATGACAAGGCTAAACTGAAGAATTATGTCTGACAGAAGGGAAGAAATGACTATGGTGGCCTTCTTAGACCCTGTGGGAAAGGCCTCTACTTATCCAGTGAAAGTGTCTACCTAGACCAAGAGGTATTTTAGTTTGCTGACTCGGGGCATGTTGAGTAAAGCTAATTTGCCAGTCTTGGGCAGGGGCAAATCCTGGAGCTTGATGTGTAGGGAAGGGTGGGGGCCTGAATAATCTCTGAGAAGTAGTAGAATAGCAGATGGAATACTGAGAAGTTATTTCCTTGAGGATAGATTTCTATGATGGAAAGGAAATGAGAGGTTCTAAGAGGCGGGCTAGTGGCTAGTACTATAGCATAGCCTGCCTTTGCTGGCGTGGGGCGATTAGGCCTGGTGGAACTGCCCTCAATAAACCAAGCGTGATGAGGGCGAGGAACAGGAAAGAAGGAAACATGGGGAAATGGGGTGAATGTCAGATGGATCAGAGAGTTATAGTCATAGGGGTCAGGTGTGGTATCCAGAATAATGTGGGAGGCTGGATTGAAGTCCGGGCCAGGAACAATGGTAATTGTGGGAGACTCAACAAAGAGTGAATACAGCTGAAGGAGCCGGGGAGCAGAAAGTATATGTGTCAAGTGTGAGGAAGAAAATAGATTTTGGAAGTTATGAGAACTGTAGAGAGTGAGTTGAGCATAGTTTGTGATTTTAAGGGCCTCTAAAAGGATTAGGGTGGTGGCGGCTGCCACAAGAAGACTTGAGGGCTAGGCAAAACAGTAAGGTCAAGTAATTTGGGTAAAAAGGCTACTCGGTGCGGTCCCGGTTCTTGTGTAAGAATTCTGACTGCGCAGCCCACACTTCAGCTGTGGGTAATGAAAAAGGTTGGGATGAGACAGGGAGAGCTAGGATGGGGGCAGTCTCTAAAGCTGTCTTCAAGGAACGGAAAGAGGAGTGGGGAAAGGACTTAGGATCTATGGGGTCAGCAAGGTTTCCTTTTGTGAGTTTATATAATGGTTTTGTTAGGATGGCAAAACCAGGTATCTAAAGTCGAAAGTATCCAACCATGCCTAGGAAGGAAAGGAGTTGTTGTTTTATAGGTGTTGGGGTTTGAGAGATCAGCTGAACACGATTGGCAGGGAGAGCACGTGTGTTTTTATGAGAATTACGCCGAGATAGGTAACAGATGAGGAAGAAATTTGGGCTTGACTGAAATAATGGGGGCTGTCTGTGAAGCTTTGCGGCAGTACAGCCCGGGTAATCTGCTGAGCCTGATGGGTGTCAGGGTCAGTCCAAGAGAAAGTGAAGAGAGGCTGGAATGAAAGGCGCAAAGGAATAGTAAAGAAAGCAGGTTTGAGATCTAGAACAGAATAATGGGTTGTGGAGGGAGGTATCGAGGTTAGGAGAGTATATGGGTTTGGCACCACTGGGTGGATAGGCAAAACAATCTGGTTGATAAGGCGCAGATCCTGAACTAACCTGTAAGGCTTGTCTGGTTCTAGAACAGGTAAAACGGGGGAATTGTAAGGAGAGTTTATAGGCTTTAAGAGGTCATGCTGTAGCAGGCAAGTGATAACAGGCTTTAATCCTTTTAAAGCATGCTGTGGGATGGGATATTGGCATTGAGCAGGGTAAGGGTGATTAGTTTTTAATGAGATGATAAGGGGTGCATGATCGGTCACCAAGGAGGGAGTAGAGGTATCTCATACTTGTGGGTTAAGGTGAGGGGATACAAGAGGAGGACGCAACGGAGGCTTTGGATTGGGAAGAAGGGCGGCAATGAGATGTAGCTGTAGTCCAGGAATAGTTAGGGAAGCAGATAATTTAGTTAAAGTGTCTCGGCCTAATAAGGGAACTGGGCAGGTGGGGATAACTAAAAAGGAGTGCTTAAAAGAGTATTGTCTAAGCTGGCACCAGAGTTGGGGAGTTTTAAGAGGTTTAGAAGCCTGGCCGTCAATACCCACAACAGTTATGGAGGCAAGGGAAACAGGTCCTTGAAAAGAAGGTAATGTGGAGTGGGTAGCCTCCATATTGATTAAGAAGGGGACGGTCTTACCCTCCACTGTGAGAGTTACCTAAAGCTCGGCATCTGTGTTGGTCTACAGGGCTTCCGAGGTGATCTGGCAGTGTCAGTCTTCAGCCACTAAGCCGAGAAGATCTGGGAAGGAGTGAGTCAGAGAGTCTTGGGCCAGAGTTCCAGGGGCTCTGGGAGTGGCTGCCAGGTGAGTTGAACAGTCTGATTTTCAGTGGGGTCCTGCACAGACGGGACACGGTTTAGGAGGAATCCTGGGCTGCAGGCATTCCTTGGCCTGGTGGCCAGATTTCTGGCACTTGTAGCAAGCTCCTGGGGGAGGTGTTTCTGGAGGAACGCCTGGCCGCTGCGGTTCAGGCATTTGGAAGTTCTTGTGTGCTGGAGATGTGGCTGGGGTTTGTCTCACAGTGGAGGCAAGGAACTGCAACTTAGAAATATGTTGCTTCTTGGCTGCCTCTATTCTATTATTGTACACCTTGAAGGCGACGTTAATTAAGTCCTGTTGTGGGGTTTGAGGGCTGGAATTTAATTTTTGGAGTTTTATTTAATGCCGGGAGCAGATTGGGTAATAAAATGTATATTGAGAATAAGACGGCCTTTTGACCTTTTAGGGTCTAGGGCTGTAAAGCGTCTCAGGTTTGCTGCCAAACGAGCCATGAACTGGGCTGGATTTTTATATTTGATGAAAAAGAGCCTAAACACTATCTGATTTGGGATAAAGAAAAAGGAGCATTAACCTTGACTATGCCTTTAGCTCCAGCCACCTTTTAAGAGTAAATTGCTGGGCAGGTGGGGGAGGGCTAGTCCCAGAATGAAACAGTAAGCTGGACCAGGTGTGAGGAGGGGAGGTGATAAAAGGATTATAGAGTGGAGGAACGGAGGCTGAGGAAGATTTGGGACCTAGCTCGGCCTGGGGAGGAAGGGAGAGGTCAGATGGGGCTGTAGAAAAGGAAGACTAGAAAGACTCAGCGACGCTTGGGGTTGGGACTGAGGGGACAGGTAGGAGGGAAAGAAGGAAGATTTGGGATGAGTTGCATGGGAACAGAGACTAGGTAGGGACTGATGTGTAAAAGAATGCCTGGACGTCAGGCACCTCAGACCATTTGCCCATTCTATGCCAAGAATTATTTAGATCTTGCAGGGTGGAAAAATTGAAAGTGCCATTTTCTGACTATTTGGAACCACTGTCGAGTTTGTACTGGGGTCAAGCGGCATTGCAGAGGAATATAAGGCATTTAGGTTTTAGGTCAGGTGACAGTTGAAGAGGTTTTAGGTTTTTAAGAACACAGGCTAAGGGAGAAGAGAGGGGAATGGAGGGCGGAAGGTTGCCCATAGTGAAGGAAGCAAGCCCAGAGAAAAGAGAGAGTAGAGACATGGAGGGAAGGGGTTCGGGGTTTCTTACCCTCCAGACAAGCGGGAAAGGGGTTGGGGCGCAGAAATAAGGGGTTGGGGCGCAGATATAAGAGGTCAGGGCGCAGAAATAAGGGATCGGGGTACAGAGATAAGAGGTTGGGGCGTGGAAATAAGGCAGGCGTCCCTGAGTGGTCAGACACCTCTGAAACGTGGGTGAACAATCAGAGAGATGTCCCTGCAATGGGGAGGCTGCCTTCCGTAGTCCGTGACCAGCGCCGGAGTTTTGAGTCCACGGATAAAACGTGTCTCCTTTGTCTCTACCAGAAAATGAAAGGAATTGAAATTAACAGAAGGGAGAGATTGAAGGGTGGCGACAAGATTGAAAGGAGAAAGTGGTTGAGGGATAGTGAGGGAGGTTGGAGAAGAGAGTAAGAGGCCGCTTACCCGATTTAAAATTGGTGAGATGTTCCTTGGGGTGGTGGGTCTGAGGACCCGTGGTGGTAGGTGGATCTTTTTCACGGAGCAAAGAGCAGGAGAACAGGGGATTGATCTCCCAAGGGAGGTCCCCCGATCCGAGTCACAGCACCACATTTCACTCGCGTCCATGTGAAGACACCACCAAACAGGCTTTGTGTGAGCAATAAAGCTGTTTATTTCACCTGGGTGCAGGTGGGCTGAGTCCGAAAAGAGAGTCACTGAAGGGAGACTTTGAGTAGGTAAAGGAAAATTACAGTCAAAGGGGGTTGTTTTCTGGGGGGCAGGTGTGGAGGGGGTCACAAGATGCTCAGCAGGGGAGTTTTTGAGCCAGGATGAGCCAGGAGAAGGAATTGCACAAGATAATGTCATCAGTTAAGGCAGGAACAGGCCATTTTCACTTCTTTTGTGGTGGAATGTCATCAGTTAAGGCAGGAACTGGCCATCTGGATGTGTACATGCAGGTCACAGGGGATATGATGGCTTAGCTTGGGCTCACAGGCCTGACAATAAATATAATTATTTATGAAAATTACAAATATTATTTATGTATTTATATAAACAATATCATTTATATATAATATTGTCATTTATATATAATTATATGATGAATATTATATTTATATGTATATGCAAAGTTTTGTTATTTTCCTTTTTTGCTAAAACAAAGTTGGGGCCACAGTCTATTAAATGCATGAACTACATACATGTTTTTTAAACGTTATGTAAAATTTTATTTGTTGACCGAGGTATTAGTTCATAGAAGTACGTTTGCTTAGCATACGCATCATTTAAAACATCCCTGCGTACCTCGATAGATAAAATGCTTCTCACATCTGTAGAAAAATACATAAAGCAATACCAATATACAGAAGCAGTCGCATCTAGTACACAGATCACAACGTGCGCATTACATAGACCCTCTGTCGTTCAACACGTGAAGGAAAGCTGTTGGGTTCGAAATCAGGTTTATAAAGTAGAATTGGCTCCTGGCTAGGCAGAGATGCTATTGCGAGGCTGGTGGAACACTTTTTATTCTTTCTTTTCCTGTATTTTGGAGGGTCAGTAGCCTGCGAAGCTCCTTGTTTCTGTTCACTGGAGTCAGGCTGCGGCAATTTAGGAATCAGGCAGTCACTCCGGAGGTCCTCTTAGTTATGCAAACCTAGGACGTGTCCTCCCCCATTACCCTGGAGAGCAATCTGCTTTTGTTTAACAGAGACCATCCCTTTTTAATGGCCAGGTGGAGCAGGGTTAGTTTGCATAAGCAGTCTTTCCAGGAAGAAAGGAATAAGGTCCCAGCCAAGTACACCAGCTTTTACACTGTACATACATCTGGGTCGCCTCTAACCTAGGTCGCTGCAGACATCAGCTCTTCAAAGGGGGAAATCATAGACACACGTTGAACCCAAGGCAGGACAGCCAGGGTGAAACATTTTGGGGGCAGCTTTGATTCAGCCTTGAATGTGGCTGACAATCTGAGCCCTTTATCACCCTGGACGGTGAATGGAAAAGTGAATGCTATTTGGGAAACAAGGGTTGAATGGGAGGGATATAAAGTAATAAGCGGAAATCCAGTATCTGCACACCCTCCAAGCATCATAGTCACAGATGGGTGCGGGATCCGTCTTCAGCAGGGACACTGCTTGGCAGCAAGCAGCCTCAGATTTTTAGGACCTGACTCTCAGCCCAGTCCTCCACCCCAAGGGCGCTGAGAAGTAAAACTGACTCCCTTCGGGAACATGTGATCCTGAAGTTATTTTTTGGCTATTTCCAAGAAGAACTGTGATTCCTCAAGAGGGAGATTCTGAATTTGGTGCTCAAAAGGACAGGAGGGTATTTTAGAAGGTCAACTGTGGAGGAAAGGGGACGTGTTAGCATTGTGAATTTGTAAAGCAGATCATGAATTTCGTTAATTTCTGCATTAATGCATTAATTGAGTTTGTATTTACTATTTTGCCCTCTCTGTAAATGGCACTCCTGTCTTCTGAGTTGCTCAAATCAAAACCTTAGTAGTTGTCCTTGAGTCCTCCCTGTCCACAGCAAACATTCATTCCAGGGCACATCCTGCCACCCTGAGAAGCACCTCCAGTTCCTTCCGGTACCTGGGTCCCAGTCACTAGGAGCCTGTGTAAGGGCATTTGCAAAACAAAAGTGAGAGGCTGAATTCTCCCTGCAGGAGATAAAGGACCAGACTTTTCCCCCTCTCTTTCTTAGAGCATTTTGTTTAGAAAACCTACAACTGGAAGTACTTTCTCAGTTCCTTTGAAATGTATGTGGATGTTTACAAAAGCTAAATAAGCCTCCTGTCAGCTTTAAGACCTAGGAATGTCTTTCCTTAGGATCTGAGGCCATCTCTTTGAAATGCATCATCAAGGAAGGTAGCGCCCATGCCTACCCCTTCCAGGAAAGGACAGGAGCCTAAATCTTCCGCAGGCACCTGACTCCAAGTTGCAAAACGGCCTCCTTTCATAAGGATGTACAAAGTTTATTTTTTCTTCATATAAAACCACAGCTACCACAGATGATCACCCCAATTTCTGGGTGGATCTAGAACGGACTATGTGTTGACCAAGGGTTGTGTTAAGCCCTCTTGCTAGGGGACTAGTTACTGTTTATCTTGAGAACAAGTCTGTAATGACTTTTATCTGCTTGATAATGAAAGAGATTTCTTTGCAATTTCTTAGCAGATTGCCAGTGACATGAATCGCATTCTACTTGAAAGCCTATTCAACAATAATAGTGTTTTTATTTTTTTCTCTATTACTTTTGTGGAGAGGTTTTTCTGGGTAGGCAGAAGTTTTGGTTTTAATTATTTATTTCCCCCAACGCACTTGCCCGAACTTCCTTCTTGTCTACCCCCAGTGCAATCCATTCTCTGCACTGCATCTAGGAAGATCTGCTAAGAAGGCACATCGGTTCATGTCACTTCTTTATTTAAAAACCCTTGAGTGGATTCCCATCACTCTAGCTCCACACCTGGATCTGCTGGTCCCGTGGGATCAGGGCCCTGCCTGCCACACATCCACTGTGCCTCACCCACACCAGCCCCTCATTCTTCCTTGGAATCCATGATCTCATTCCTCACATGGGACTTCTCACTGGCTACACGGTTCCCTGAAATGCTCCTTTATCTGGTCTTTGCAAAAATCCTTATTTGGGTCACCCTGAAATGCCAGTTTCTCCTCCAGGAAGCCAGTTCCTCAGTCACGCTCTCACATATTAAACTCTTCTATTCTCTGTTCACCCCCATTCTCTTTATTTTATTTTTTTAAATTTGTATTTTTTTTGTGACAGAGTCTCACTCTGTCACCCAGGCTGGTGTGCAGTGACTCAGTCTGGGCTCACTGCAACCGCCACCTCCCGTGTTCAAGGGATTCTCCTGCCTCAGCCTCCTGAGTAGCTGGGATTACAGGCATGTGCTGCCCTACCCAGCTAATTTTTGAATTTTTGAAAGAGACGGGGTTTTGCCATGTTGGCCATGCTGGCCTCGAACTCCTGACCTCAGGTGATCTTGCCCGCCTTGGCATCCCAAAGTGCTGCGATTACAGGTGTGAACCACCGGGCCTGGACTTTTTATTTTCTTAATCATCAATATTTACATGGATTTCTCATTCCCCTGACACACTGAGAGCTCTGTCTTTCATGGTGCCATTTTAGCGGTTGATTAAAAATTTTTGGAATTAGAGTTCCAATTCTTTCTCTCTTTTTTTGCTGTAGAAAAAAGTGTTTTAGAAAGCTTACAATTTATTGCTTATAGAACTTTTGTAAGTGAATTATGTTAAGGCAAGAGTTATTACCTTTGTGGATGCAAGTGAACCATGTATTCATTTTTGTATTGGTGTAAGTGAAGATCTAAGGGCAGAAGTGACTTCAAAACAGCACAAATATGGTGAGAAGCTGCCTGGGTGAGGTGTCAGGTGTGATGTCTCATTTGCCCCTAAATGTTTGTGGGATGCAGGGCAAGGGCAGAAAGAGGCTCACAGACCATGTGATTTGATATGTAAAAGTCCTCATGCCTTCCTTGACAAATGTACATTCACAGCGATGTGGGTGGTAGCTGTGGTTTGTAGTCCTCAGGCTCCCTGGAGAGCATAGCTGAAATTCTGCTACCTGGACGCAGACTCCTCCTGCTCCTGGCCCCCTCCCCGCCTGCTTGCTCCTGAACCGCTAGCAGTGAACCCATGACATTGTGACCCCTCTGCTGACTTCTCTTATTTCCATGCTCCTTGTATCTCTGACAAACCATTTCAGATACAAGCCAAGCTGTCTACCCTCAGGAGGAGAGGCCCAAAGAAAAGGCCCATCCAACCCTACGAGGCAAGCTCAGGTCCATCTGGGCCAGGATGCCAGGGTCTTGAATACGCAGAGGATGGCCCAGGACATTCTCCCTTCCCTGTGGGGAGAACATCAGCCAGAGGTGGCCTCTGAGCCTGGGTCAGCAGGCAAGGCCCCCGCCCCCAGTTCTAAAATAGAACTGTGGCAAACAGTTAAACCACATCTCCCAACAGTTGAGATTAACATGTGCAGGCACAGAATGAAATGTTACACTAAAAAAACAAAACCAACAACAAAAAACCAAATTACACATAGATTCACTAAGAATCACAATGAAACCTCCAATCTACTGTACAAAATTAGGCAATGTCAATAATTCACAAGGGGGGAGCAGGATCTCCATGGAATCCATGCATTTTCATAGTTCCAGAAGGGAAGCATGTGCTGATGACTTAGGAATTCTCAACCCCATTACAACCACCTCCCGAAATCTGCAGGTCGCCAATTGTTTACTTTCTACATCAACATCATCAAACCACACAGACAACACTCAAGCATGAACAACACCGGCTGTGCAAAGTGGCTCATGTCTGTAATCCCATTGCTTTGGGAGCCCGAGGCAGGAGGATGACTTGAGGCCAGGAGTTTGAGACCAGCCTGGGCAAAATAGTGAGATGTAGCGGTGTGACAAACAGAAATTAAAGAATGAAGTATGAAAACAGGAGAAGATTTTCATTAAAACCTTTACTGTAATAGGAAGAATGAAATTTTAACTTGCAATTAGGGTGATGACACGTTCAGCCTTATCCAGGACAGTACTGGCTTGCACCTGTTGTCTCAGATAGTGATGAACAGCACCCATGTTTACTCTTAAAATATCCCAATTTGAATAAAAATTACATAATCTTCCCACCTATGAAGTCCTTTAAAACTGGAGTTTCAGAAGAATAAGGGAAATGGCTGGAAGTGTGAGACAGACAACAGGGAAAATCCAGTGACATCAGTGAAGCCCCTCTGCCAGGTACGCCTGTAATCAATTCCCTCCCTTTTTTTTTTTTTTTTTTTTTTTTGAGACGTAGTCTCGCTCTGTCGCCCAGCCTGGAGTACAGTGGCGCGATCTCAGCTCACTGCAAGTTCCACCTCCTGGGTTCACGCTCCCTCACTCTTTTTACTCATGTCAGCAATACTTGATTTGTTTTTATTTCTTAAGATAATTTTGGTAAATTTCTATTATTTACTGCCAAACAGCTTTGACTAACACGTTCTCTCCCATCTCTGGGCCTTTTGCAAACGTGTCCATAGCTAGGGACAATTTTACCCTATTCTCTTGTTCACTTGGCTAAATTCTACTTACTCTGTTAATCTTAGGTTAAATACCACATTTTCAAGACTGAGGTCCTTGATTCCCGCAGCTCTATGATAAATGCTGTTTAGAGGCTCCCTGACCTTTTCTAGTCAGAAAAATTGTTCCCCGCACTCCACCTCGGTCTGCTTTTACCTTCTCTAGAAGGTGCACTTGCTGAGCTCAGATGCTGTAATTGTCCTGCTCGTTGATAAACCAAGTAGCTTCACAGTGTGCAGCGTACAGTGGGTTCTCAAAAAATGTTTGTCGAATGAAGTGTTTAAAGCACTTAGCCCGAGAATTGGCCCCTAGCAGGTATTAAATAGTAACTATTATAAGCTGTATCATGATGTAACAAACGATATGAAGAATCAAGATGCACTGTGAGTTCTTTTTGTTGCTGCTGCTGCTGTTGTTATTGAGATAGAGACTCACTCTGTTGCCCAGTCTGGAGTGCAGCGGCGTGATCTCAGTTCACTGCAACCTCTGCCTCCTGGGTTCATGTGATTCTCAATGCCTCAGCCACCCGAGGAGCTGCGACTACAGGCGCCCACCACCACGCTCGGCTATTTTTTTGTATTTTTAGTAGTGATGGCGTTTCACCATGTTGGCCAGGCTGGCCTTGAACTCCTGACCTTGGGTGATCCGCCCACCTTGGCCTCCCAAAATGCTGGGATTACAGACATGAGCCATGGCACCCGGCCTGTGAGATTTAAGAAAATAAAAGCAAGTAACTCAAATGATCAAGTCTCAAAAAAATAAGTTTACAATCGTATAAATACACACACACACATATATACATATAGGAGATAATGTAAACATGTAATTAAAACATTGATGTATTAACTTCAAACATGTAATGTAAATTTTGAGTGAAAAAGAAATAATAGACATTTATAATAAGCTCCAAGAAGCAAGAGAATGTGTTTATTTCCGTTTTTTTTAAATCTAATCAATTTCCATGTCTAAACTTCATTAGGGAAAACTTTGTTTGCAATTTAGTGATGTTTATTTTGCAAATGGCTAATGGCACTGTGTTTCTATGAAATGTTTAGAAATGGATCGAAAATGCTATTGCAAAGCCAACTAAATTATAGACATGAAATAAATGTCAAGGACAAAATTATTATATTTTGCATGTCAGGTTAAAAACTAGTGAACAGTATTTCAAAAATGTAGGTTATTATAAAAGGTAGCATGGTATAAAGCAGACTCCATGTGACCAAGTACATATTTTTGTTTATTTATTTTTAATTATACTTTGTTTTAGGGTACATGTGCACAACGTGCAGGTTTGTTACATATATATACATGTGCCGTGTTGGTGTGGTACACCCATTAAGTCGTCATTTAACATTAGGTATGTCTCCAAATACTATCCCTCCCTGATCCCCCCACCCCACAACAGGCCCCAGTGTGTGATGTTTCCCTTCCTGTGTCCATGTGTACTCATTGTTCAATTCCCACCTATGAGTGAGAACATGTGGTGTTTGGTTTTTTATCCTTGTGATAGTTTGCTGAGAATGATGGTTTCCAGCTTCATCCCTGTCCCTACAAAGGACATGAACTCATTATTTTTTATGGCTGGATAGTATTCCATGGTATATATGTGCCACATTTTCTTAATCCAGTCTGTCATTGTTGGGCATTTGGGTTGGTTCCAAGTCTTTGCTATTGTGAATAGTGCCGCAATAAACATACGTATGAATGGGTCTTTATAGCAGCATGATTTATAGTCCTTTGTGTATATACCCAGTAATGGGATGGCTGGGTCAAATGGTATTTCTAGTTCTAGGTCCCTGAGGAATCGCCACACTGTCTTCCACAATCATTGAACTAGTTTATGGTCCCACCAACAGTGTAAAAGTGTTCCTATTTCTCCACATCCTCTCCAGCACCTGTTGTTTCCTGACTTTTTAATGGTTGATTGCCATTCTAACTGGTGTGAGACGATATCTCATTGTGGTTTTGATTTGCATTTCTCTGATGGCCAGTGATGATGAGCATTTTTTCATGTGTCTGTTGGCTGCATAAATGTCTTCTTTTGAGAAGTGTCTGTTCATACCCCTCACCCACTTGTTGATGGGGTTATTTGTTTTTTTCTTGTAAATTTGTTTGAGTTCATTGTAGATTCTGGATATTAGCCCTTTGTCAGATGAGTAGATTGTGAAAATTTTCTCCCATTTTGTAGGTTGCCTGTTCACTCTGATGGTAGTTTCTTTTGCTGTGCAGAAGCTCTTTAGTTTAATTAGATCCCGTTTGTCAATTTTGGGTTTTGTTGCCATTGCTTTTGGTGTTTTAGACATGAAGTCCTTGCCCGTGCCTATGTCCTGAATGGTATTGCCTAGGTTTTCTTCTAGGGTTTTTATGGTTTTAGGTCTAACATTTAAGTCTTTAACCCATCTTGAATTAATTTTTGTATAAGGTGTAAGGAAGGAATCCAGTTTCAGCTTTCTACATATGGCTAGCCAGTTTTCCCAGCACCATTTATTAAATAGGGAATCCTTTCCCCATTGCTTGTTTTTGTCAGGTTTGTCAAAGATCAGATAGTTGTAGATATGTGGCATTATTTCTGAGGGCTCTGTTCTGTTGCATTGGTCTATATCTCTGTTTTGGTACCAGTATCATGCTGTTTTGGTTACTGTAGCCTTGTAGTATAGTTTGAAGTCAGGTAGCATGATGCCTCCAGCTTTGTTCTCTTGGCTTAGGATTGACTTGGCGATGCGGGCTCTTTTTTGGTTCCATATGAACTTTAAAGTAGTTTTTTCCAATTCTGTGAAGAAAGTCATTGGTAGCTTGATGGGGATGGCTTTGAATCTATCAATTACCTTGGGCAGCATGGGCATTTTCACAATATTGATTCTTCCTACCCATGAGCATGGAATGTTCTTCCATTTGTTTGTCTCCTTTTTTATTTCATTGAGCAGTGGATTGTAGTTCTCCTTGAAGAGGTCCTTCACATCCCTTGTCAGTTGGATTCATATGTATTTTATTCTCTTTGAAGCAGTTGTGAATGGCAGTTCACTCATGATTTGGCTCTTTCTTTGTCTGTTGTTGGTGTATAAGAATGCTTGTGATTTTTGCACATTGATTTTGTATCCTGAGACTTTGCTGAAGTTGCTTATCAGCTTAAGGATATTTTGGGCTGAGACAATGCGGTTTTCTAGATATAGAATCATGTCATCTGCAAACAGGGACAATTTGACTTCCTCTTTTCCTAATTGAATACCTTTTATTTCCTTCTGCCTGATTGCCCTGGCCAGAACTTCCAACACTATGTTGAATAGTAGTGGTGAGAGAGCGCATCCCTGTCTTGTGACAGTTTGCAAAGGGAATGCTTCCAGTTTTTGCCCATTCAGTATGATATTGGCTGTGGGTTTGTCATAGATAGCTCTTATTATTTTGAAATACGTCCCATCAATACCTGATTTATTGAGAGTTTTTAGAATGAAGGGCTGTTGAATTTTGTCAAAGGCCATTTCTGCATCTATTGGGATTATCACGTGGTTTTTGTCTTTGGTTCTGTTTATATGCTGGATTACATTTATTGATTTGCATATGTTGAACCAGCCTTGCATCCCAGGGATGAAGCTCACTTGATCATGGTGGATAAGCTTTTTGATATATTGTTGGATTCACTTTGCCAGTATTTTATTGAGGATTTTTGCTTTGATGTTCATCAGGGATATTGGTCTAAAATTCTCTTTTTTTGTTGTGTGTCTGCCAGGCTTTGGTATCAGGATGATGCTGGCCTCATAAAATGAGTTAGGGAGGATTCCCTCTTTTTCTATTGATTGAATAGTTTCAGAAGGAATGGTAGCAGTTCCTCCTTATACCTCTGGTAGAATTTGGCTGTGAATCCATCTGGTCCTGGACTTTTTTTAGGTTGGTAAGCTATTAATTATTGCCTCAATTTCAGAGCCTGTTATTCGTCTCTTCAGAGATTCAACTTCTTCCTCGTTTAGTCTTGGGAGGGTGTATGTGTCCAGAAATTTATCCATTTCTTCTAGATTTTCTAGTTTATTTGCATAGAGGTGTTTATAGTATTCTCTGATGGTAGTTTGTATTTCTGTGGGATCGGTGGTGATATTACCTTTATCATTTTTTATTGTGTCTATTTGATTATTCTCTCTTTTCTTCTTTATTAGTTTTGCTAGCAGTCTATCAATTTTGTTGATCTTTTCAAAAAACCAGCTCCTGGATTCATTGATTTTTTGAAGGGTATTTTAGTTATTTCTTTCCTTCTGCTAGCTTTTGAGTATGTTTGCTCTTGGTTCTCCAGTTCTTTTAATTGTGATGCTAGGGTGTCAATTTTAGATCTTTCCTGCTTTCTCTTGTGGGCATTTAGTGCTATAAATTTCCCTCTACACACTGCTTTGTATGTGTCCCAGAGATTCTGGTATGTTGTGTCTTTGCTCTCGTTGGTTTCAAAGAACATCTTTATTTCTGCCTTCATTTCGTTATTTACCCAGTAGTCACTCAGGAGCAGGTCGTTCAGTTTCCATGTAGTTGAGTGGTTTTGAGTGAGTTTCTTATTTCTGAGTTCTGGTTTGATTGCACTGTGGTCTGAGAGACAGTTTGTTATAATTTCTGTTCTTTTACATTTGCTGAGGAGTGCTTTACTTCCAACTATGTGGTCAATTTTGGACTAGGTGTGGTGTGGTGCTGAAAAGAATGTATATTCTGTTGATTTGGGGTGGAGAGTTCTGTAGATGTCTATTAGGTCCACTTGGAGCAGTGCTGAGTTCAATTCCTGGATATCCTTTTTAACTTCCTGTCTCATTGATCTGTCTAAAGTTGAGAGTGGGTTGTTAAAGTCTGCCATTATTATTGTGTGGGAGTCTAAGTCTCTTTGTAGGTCTCTAAGGACTTGCTTTATGAATCTTTTTTTGTTTTCTGTTTGCTTGGTAGATCTTCCTCCATCCTTTTATTTTGAGCCTATGTGTGTCTCTGCAGGTGAGATGGGTTTCCTGAATACAGCACACTGTAGGGTCTTGACTCTTTATCCAATTTGCCAGTCTGTGTCTTTTAGTTGGAGCATTTAGCCCATTTACATTTAAGGTTTATATTGTTATGTGTGAATTTGATCCTGTCATTATGATGTTAGCTGGTTATTTTGCTCATTAGTTGATGCTGTTTCTTCCTAGCCTTGATGGTCTTTACAATTTTGCATGTTTTTGCAGTGGCTGGTACTAGTTGTTCCTTTCCATGTTTAGTGCTTCCTTCAGGAGCTCTTGTAGGGCAGGCCTGGTGGTGACAGAATCTCTCAGCATTTGCTTGTCTGTAAAGGATTTTATTTCTCCTTCACTTAGGAAGCTTAGTTTGGCCGGATATGAAATTCTGGGTTGAAAGTTCTTTTCTTTAAGAATGTGGAATATTGGCCCCCACTCTCTTCTGGCTTGTAGAGTTTCTGTCGAGAGATCAGCTGTTAGTCTGATGGGCTTCCCTTTGTGGGTAACCCGACCTTTCTCTCTGGCTGCCCTTAACATTTTTTCCTTCATTTTAACTTTGGTGAATCTGACAATTATGTGTCTTAGAGTTACTCTTCTCGAGGGGTATATTTGTGGCATTCTCTGTATTTCCTGAATGTGAATGTTGGCCTGCCTTGCTAGATTGGGGAAGTTCTCCTGGTTTATATCCTGCAGAGTGTTTTCCAACTTGGTTCCATTCTCCCTGTCACTTTCAGGTACACCAATCAGACGTAGATTTGGTCTTTTCACATAGTCCCATATTTCTTGGAGGCTTTGTTCCTTTTCATTCTTTTTTCTCTAAACTTCTCTTCTCACTTCATTTCATTCATTTGATCTTCCATCACTGATACCCTTTCTTCTAGTTGACCGAATTGGCTATTGAGACTTGTGCATTTGTCACTTAGTTCTCGAGCCTTGGTTTTCAGCTCCGTCAGGTCCTTTAAGGACTTCTGTGCATTGGTTATTCTAGTTAGCCATTCATGTAATTTTTTTTCAAGGTTTTTAACTTCTTTGCCATGGGTTCAAACTTCCTCCTTTAGCTCGGGGTCGTTTGCTAGTCTGAAGCCTTCTTCTCTCAACTTGTCAAAGTCATTCTCCATCCAGCTTTGTTCCATTGTTGGTGAGGAGCTGATTTCCTTTGGAGGAGGAGAGGTGCTCTGATTTTTAGAGTTTACAGTTTTTCTGCTCTGTTTTTTCCCCATCTTTGTGGTTTTATCTACCTTTGGTCTTTGATGATGGTGATGTACAGATGGGGTTTTGGTGTGGATGTCCTTCCTGTTTGTTAGTTTTCATTGTAACAGTCAGGACCCTCAGCTGCCGGTCTCTTGGAGTTTGCGGAGGTCCACTCCAGAACCTATTTGCCTGGGTATCAGTAGCAGAGGCTGCAGAGCAGTGGATATTGGTGAACAGCGAATGTTGCTGCCTGACCATTCCTCTGGAAGTTTTTCTCAGGGGTGTACCCAGCCGTGTGAGGTGTCAGTCTGCCCCTACTGGGGGATGCATCCCAGTTAGGCTTCTCGGGGGACAGGGACCCACTTGAGGAGGCAGTCTGTCCATTCTCAGATCTCAAGCTGTGTGCTGGGAGAACCACTACTCTATGTAAAGCTGTCAGACAGGGACATTTCAGTCTGCACAGGTTTCTGCTGCCTTTTGTTGTCTGTGCCCTGCCCCCAGAGGTGGAGCCTACAGAGGCAGGCAGGCCTCCTTGAGCTGTGGTGGGCTCCACCCAGTTCGAGCTTCCCACCTGCTTTGTTTACCTACTCAAGCCTGTGCAATGGTGGACGCCCCTCTCCCAGCCTTGCTGCAGCCCTGCAGTTTGATCTCAGACTGCTGTTCTAGCAATGAGCAAGGCTCTGTGGGCGTAGGACCCTCTGAGCCATGCACGGGATATAATCTCCTGGTGTGCCGTTTGCTAAGCCCATTGGGAAAGTGCAGTATTAGGGTGGGAGTGACCGGATTTTCCAGGTGCTGTCTGTCAACACTTTCTTTGACTAGAAAGGGAATTCCCTGACCTCTTGTGCTTCCCGGGTGATGTGATGCCTCATCCTGCTTTGGCTCACACTTGGTGTGCTGCACCCACTGTCCTGCACCCACTTTCCGACACTCGCCAGTGAGATGAACCTGGTACCTCAGTTGGAAATGCAGAAATCACCCATCTTCTGCATCGTTCATGCTGGGAGCTGTAGACTGGAGCTGTTCCTATTCGGCCATCTTGGCTCCCATCCAAGTACACATTTTTATAGAAGACAATGACTGAGCCGGGTGAGGTGGCTCACACCTGTAATCCCAGGACTTTGGGGGGCTGAGGCAGACCAATCACCTGAGGTCAGGAGTTCCAGACCAGCCTGGCCAACATGGTGAAACCTCCTCTGTACTAAAAATATAAAAATTAGCTGGGCGTGGTGGTGGCACCTGTAATCCCAACTACTCAGGGGGCTGAGGCAGGAGAATTGCTTGAACCTGGGAGGCAGAGGTTTCAGTGGGCTGATATTGTTTGACAGAGCAAGACTAAGTCTCAAGAAAAAAAAAAAAAAAAGAGAAGAAAGGAAGGAAAGAAAGGAAGGAAACAAACCACAACTGTTGTAACAATGGCAGTAGGCAGACACTGTGCCCCAGCAGTACATGTTGCAGCCATCCCGAAATAAGTTCATTGTCCCCTTCTCCTAACTTTTTATTGATGCTTCAGATCTAGCTACTATATCTATAGATATATAAAAGACATCTCCTTTAGGATTTATTGCATGCACTAAAAAAGCTATAATCTTGCCCCTTTTGCTTTATGTCTCCTGACAAATGAACCAACAACACTGGCTGTTTCTTACTTTTGACTCTGAATCCCACTTCCAACATGTGTGCCTTGCAAGAACACCCACACTTCCAGAACTGGATCCTGCAGCCACCCATATGCCTGTCAACACCCAGAAAGTCCACCTTTGATGTCTGCATGTTTAAATCCTGACTCAGAAAAGGGACATCTTGTGTATGTTATTTAACCAAAGGCATCTTTTCTTGTAAGAACACTCTGAGTCACAGGATTCTTATTTTAATTTTTCCTTTCCAAGGTAGTTATGTTAGGAGGAGATTTTTCAACTCTTAGCCAAAAAAATTCACAATGCAAAAATAGAATGTTAACTAACAAAATTTTACATTATCTAAAACTCAGTAAATTGAGAAGAGAAAATAAAATATTTGTAAGAGAATTTTCATTACTATTCATTCATTTATTCCTTCATTCAGAAATACTTCTGAGGGCCAGGTACAGTGGCTCATGCCTGTAATCCCAGCACTTTGGGAGGCCAAGGTGGGTGGATCACTTGAGGTCAGGAGTTTGAGACCAGCCTGGCCAACATGGTGAAACCCCATCTCCGCTAAAAACACAAAAATTTGCTGGGTTTGGTGGTGCATCCATCTGTAATCCCAGCTACTCAGGAGGCTGAGGCAGGAGAATCGCTTCAACCTGGGAGGCAGAGTTCGCAGCAAGCCAAAACCGTGCCACTGCACTCCAGCCCGCGCTATAAGAGTGAAACTCCATCTCAAAACAAACAGAAAACTTCTGAGTGCCTACTGCATGTCAGTTCTACTCACTTGGGACACATCAATCAACAAATTAGGATCTCTTTCCTTGTGGAGGTTAGATTCTCAAGGGAGGAGATAACAATACAAAATACAACCAAGTAATAAATGAAATATTATGGATATGGACAGTGACAGTGCGTTGGGATAAAGAAGACAGGAGTGTCGATGGCACTGAGAGTGCTGGGGGGCAGTTGGTGGTGATTTCAGGTGGGCTGGTCATGGAAGTTCCCCTGAGATGATGACACATATTTTAAGATAGAGACAGAATCAGCCTTGCGGGTACCTGGGGCCAAGGCTACTGAGAAGGAGAACTGAAGTTTCTATCAAAGACCCTAAACGGTGGGCCTAGAGCCTTGTTGGAGAAGCATGGACATTTCTGGGGCTGGAGCTGAGAAGGGGGTGGATGATGAGGCTTCCAAGGGAGGTGTGAGGGCGATCGGTGGGTGGGGTGAGGGGAGAATTGCAGGCAGCTGCAAGGGACTTGGGGCTTGACTCAGTGATCCAGGGGCCATTGCTGGGTTCTGAAAATGTTACAAGGGCGTGAAGCTTATATTTTAAAGAATTAATGTAGCCACTGTGTTCAGGACAGACCATGGAGAGGCCGTGAGACCAGGTGGAAGGCTATTGCAGGGGCACGGCAGGAGATTGGAGGAGACTCAGCCATGGGAGATGGTGTCGAGTAGACAGACAGGGCCCCATTCTCATAAATTTTATAGGTATGTCCAATAAGGTTTCTGGATGGGCTGCATGTGGGATATGAAAGACAGAATATGAGAATGAACAGGGTAAACAGACAACCTAAAGAAAGGGAGAAAATTTTTCCAAAATATGCATCTGAAAAATGTCTAATATCCAGCATCTATAAGGAACTTGGACAAATTTACACGACAAAAACAACCCCATTAAAACATGGACAAAGGACATGAACAGACACTTTTTAAAAGAAGACATACATGTTGCCAACAATCGTGGAAAAAAGCTCACCATCACTGATCGTTAGAGAAATGCAAATTAAAACCAAAATGAGATACCATCTCACACCAGTTACAATGGCTATTACTGAAAAACCGAGATATAAAAGATGCTGGTGAGGTTGTGGAGAGAAAGGAACACTTAAATACTGTTTGTGCAAATGTAAATTAGTTCAACCATTATGGAAGACAGTGTGGTGATTCCTCAAAGACCTAAAGACAGAAATATCATTGGACCTAGCAATCCATTATTGGGTATATGCCCAAGGGAATAAAATCATTCTATTATAAAGACACATGCATGCATATGTTCAGTGCAGCACTATTCACCACAGCAAAGCCATGGAAGCAACCTAAATGCCCATCAGTGATAGACTGGATAAAGAAAACATGGTACATATACACCATGGAATACTATGCAGCTTTAAAAAAGAATGAGATCATGTCCTTTACAGGAACATGGATGGAGCTGGAGGCCATTATTCTTAGCAAACAAATGCAGGAAGAGAAAACCAAATACTGCATGTTTTCATTTATAACTGGGAGCTAAACGATGAGAACACATGGACACATAAAGGGGAACAATAGACACTGCGGTCTCCCGGATGGTGGAAAGTGAGAAAAGGGAGAGGATCAGGAAAAATAACTAATGGGTACTAGGCTTAATAGCTGGGTGATGAATCTAGGTTAGGCACAAAGGTACTCCAGAGCTCTAGGGAAGCCAAGGGCACCTGCTACTTATATATAAAGCAGGTATCTTAACCACAGCTTTTATGACAAGACAAATTATTATTCCAAGGGCTAGGGCCATATTGAGCTGAAAACATTCTTATTAGTATGGACTCATATTCCAGGTATTAACAAAGACACCTAAATAATCTGAAAGGCGTTTTCTAAAATTAATAACCTGATTACAGAATGGAAGACGTATGCATTTATGAGTTTCTTTGAAAACTCATGGATTTCTAGTTAGCATGTGAGCTCTGCAAAGCAGGAATCTTGACTTCGTTCACTCAGTCCTGCTTAGCTCTCAGCATGGAGGCTGCAGGTTTACGGACACTCAGTAATCCTGATGGCCTGAATGAATGAGTGAATGAATGAATGAATGAGAACCCAGGATGCATATCATTCTTAAGTATTCAAAAGAATTGAAATTTTCAGTCTGATATTAGCTTTTCTTTGTCTGTAAGGGGTAGGTTATTTTATTTAAAATGACATTACAACTCCATTACAATGATTAGTTGTTAAACATGATGTGTCTTTTCTCATTTGACATGACAAATTCCTCCTCGAGATTTTAATATGTATACAAGTGAAATACTGGAGTTTCTACCCCATCCTGAAATTTACTAAATTGGTGAGTCTAATGCAAATACTAAAGCACTCACTGATTGATTTTGTGTTAAATGGTCTAAAACATGAGTTGGCAAACTGTATACTGGAAATCAAATCTGGCCCATCAGCTAGTATTGTAGCTTGAAAGCTAAGAATGGTTTTACATTTTTTAAATGGTTAAAAAATATCAAAATAAAATATTAATTTATGACACATGAAATTCAAACACATCTCTGACCACTCATACATGCGTTGTCTGTAGCTGCCTTTGGGCTACACAGCCACAGAGCTGAGGACCTGCCTTGGAGACCACAGGACCTGCAAAGCCTAAAATAGCTACTCTCTGACTCTTCAGGGAAAAGGTTTGCTCCTCCCCGGTACAGAACTATAATTATGAAATAATTTTTTTGCATTTATATGGCATTTTTCTTTGCATGTATATGGCATTTCCCTTACCTTGCTCTTTCCCATTAATTCTCATGTCTTTGAGTTAAGCAAATTGAAAAAGTGCTTTATTATCTGCTTCCTCACCCTGAATTGAACTCTTTATGCATATAACTAGGTTATCATTTTCTCAAAGTTGCTCTTCAGGGTGAGATCCTCGCCCAGAATAGAAACGCCACCTCTGTGAGGCTCCCTGGCTTTGGGTGTTGCAGGATCAATGGGAACCAGCAGCTGGAGTTTTGTGTCGGGTGCCTCCGTGTTTCAGTGGCCGAACAGGTTTGGAAAACACATAGAAGGAGTATATCCTCCAGCCCCATCGGGGTGCATCAACTCAGCCCAGACTCCAGAGGAAAGACAGTGGCATGGATACAAGAACGTTCCACCTAATTAAGGATAAACATTCCTCATTTCATTTCTGAAAATGTCAGAGTGCTTCAATAACTACAGAGAGGGTCCACCGAGAACAAACCCCCCTCGAAGAGCAGAGGCTGAGGATGGCTCCAGTGCTTAGGGAGAGAAACATTTTTGACAATCCCTTTCTTTATATTTTCCAAAGTAATACGTGGTTCTTGAGTATTACACAAAACAAAATGAGAACCTCGACCTACCTCAAGAGTTAGGCAAGGGGCTCTTCGACTTGACAACAGAAGCACAATCCATAAAAGCCAAAATGAATAAATGAGACTTCATCAAAACAGAAAAGCTTTTGCTCTAAAAAAGACCCTGTGAAGAGGATGGAAAGACAAGCTACAGACTGGGAGAAAATGCTTGAAAGCCACGTATCTGACAACAGACTAGTGTCTTAAAAATATAAAGAATGCTCAAGACTGAAGAGTAAAGAAAAATAAAATCCCATTAGAAAATGGGAAAAGGAACAACAACAACAACAAACAAATACCAAAAAAAACCTTTCACTGTAGAGGAAACACAGGTGAGAACTATAAAACATGAAAAGATGCTCTAAATTAGTAGCCATTAAGCAAATAAATGCAGAGATATCACTGCATCCTTATAAGCACACTTAAATTTAAAATTTCTACTATATATGTTTTCTAAATGATGTAAATACCATAGACAATTTTATATCGTCTGTAAAATATCAAATGTTGCATAGGAGGCAGAAAAACAGAATCACGTACGCGTTGCTGGTGAGAATGTAAAATGGTACAGCCATTCTGGAAAATTATTTGGCAGTTAAAAGCAAAACATTCAATTCTGCAATTGCATTCTTGGGCATTTATCTCAGAGAAATAGAAACTTACGTTCCCATGATAAAGATAACAAATATGGTGCAGTATATACGGCTTGGGTGATGGGTGCGCCAAAATCCTACAAATCACCACTGAAGAACTTACTCGTGTAACCAAATACCACCTGAACCCCAAAAACTTACAGAAAAATAAAATAATTTTGAAAAGAAAACCTGCGCGTGAATGTTCATCACAGCTGTACTCATAGGAGTCCCAATCTGGAAATTACCCAGGTGTCCTTCGGCGGTGAGTGATTAAACCAACTGCTGCCTCCATTCCCTGGAGTTCTCTGCAGGAATCTAAAGGAATATGCCCTGGATTCATGCAACAAGCCGGCCCCATCAGCACCCACAGAAAGGTACTGAATGAAGAGGCCAGTCCGAGAGACGACACACTGCCTGATTCCCTCCACAGCACATTTGTGAAATGATCAAAAGTCTGGAAGTACAGAATAGATGAATGGCTGCCAGGGATTACGAAGGCATGCGGGCCGAGGTCAATGGGTACGGCTATCAAAGAGCAGCCTGTGGGATCCTATTCCTGGGGGAAATGTCCTACTTATTGATAGTATCAATGTCAACGCGTGGGCTGTGATAGTGAACTCTAGTTCTACAGGATGTTACTCTTGGGGGAAACTGGGTAAAGTGTGCACAGGGTCTCTGTTTTATTTGTTGCCACTCTAAGTGGATCTATGATTACCCCAAAGTAAAACAAGTTCAATTAAAAAAGTAAAGGTTATGTATGTCTGAGTTGCAGTATTCATTTGAATTATGGACAGTGAATGCAAACCATTTTATTTCTAAAATTATGCTCATATGAATATATATATATATATATATATATATATATATATATATATATATATACACACACATAGTTAATTTCAAAATTCCGAGAGGTTAAAACATTGCCAATAAGCGTCACAGAAGTCATGTATTTCTGAATGTACCTTTGTGATAGAAGGCAATATGAATCTCATGATTGTGAAACTCCTGACAAATATTGGTAAATCTGAAGATGACAGTATCCATTTTCAGCATCACCCATTGCTGGGGATAATGACCATTCTCTTGGAATAATAATAAATACTAAACCAAAGAAAGTGTCCTTTCCAGTTAACATAATTACTGTTTATCCAAGAGGCGCTATAAATGCTATTACTTCGGGCCAAATGAAAAAAAAAAGAAAAAGAAAAAATCAAAGGACAAAGATTCCCTGTTAAAACCTCTGAAAATGTGAAAGATTATAGTCAGTGGAAGCACAGGTATTAAAGTAGAGGTATAGACAGAATAAGTGACATTATTCAAGCAAACATGGAATACCTGGTGTAATCTGCCCCTCGAGAGTTCATTGTAATGTCTCATAGTGGAAAATGTCCTTTAATAAGCTTAGTGTTTAACAAGTACTTAATAGTTATAAAAACATGCCATAATGTATACCTATTAAACATAAGTAAATGAATTCTACAATCTACAAAAATGTATGTAATAGAAATAAGTAAATTACTTTTATTTTGTACAAGAGGGAATGTGAACTTCATTGCAAGAGAAAACTCAGTAGGAATCCTATGAAAAAGTTTGTTGTTAATTAAAAGACGTAATATTCAAGAAGTATTATGGACATTACAGTTATTAAGCTAGGCAATAAATCTCCTTGACCCATAAATTCTCATTTTTGAATTCATATGTCACCTACTTTGTGTAATAATTGTCCTTATATGTTTTCTCTTGCATCATCAACTGTTATTTTTTTTCAGAGAGTTTCACTTTGTTGTCCAGGCTGGAGTGCAGTGGCATGATCGCAGCTCACTGCAACCCCTGCCTCCTGGGTTCAAGCGATTCTCCTGCCTCAGCCTCCCGAGTACCTGGGATTACAGGTGTGTGCCACCACATCTGGCTAATTTTTGTGTTTTTAGATAAAATGGGGTTTCACCATGTTGGCCAGGCTAGTCTCGAACTCCTGGCCTCAAGTGATCTGCCTGCCTTGACCTGCCAAAGTGCTGGAATTACAGGCATGAGCCACCGTGCCAGGCCTTGCTTCATCCACTGTTACAGTTGTATTCTAATTCCCCTATGTATATATGGATACATTGGGTCTTTGTTTATCTCAGATGAATTCAAAGAGCCTTATAATCAGTTATTGGAAAGAGAATATTACTGGTCTATAGTAAATGTTCATTTTTGGTAATACATTCAAGTAATTTTTGAAATTTCTTACAAATAAATGTTTTAATATTTTTAGTATGAAATTATATTTTTGAGAGATTGATAACATATAGTTACCCAAATTAGAAAATGTAAAACATAAAAATAGGATAAGTGAATACTGTTCACAATAGTATTTGAATCACTTATCCCAATTAAGTTCTTAAGATGGCATTGTAAAGTCAACTAACTTTCTTTAATAAATGAATTGTGACTTCTCTGACACAAAGACACTAATAGTTTTGCTTTCATCATGTGAAGATTAGACATCTGTGGGAAAACCAAGTATGTCTCTTCTTTGATGTGTAAAAATAGTACACTGTTTAAAGTTATTTTAAAAACACTTTTTACCTAATGGTAACGCTAACATTTAAACTTTGAATGCAGCATAAAATTCTATTTTTTGCATCCTCATGAAACTGAAAGATCCTTAATTTGTTTATTTAAAGAGACTTCAGTTTTTTTCATAGTAACAATGAAACGAAATTTGAAAATTCAAACTTTATTTCCCAGAGATCCTTTTCTAAACATTTATTCACCTCAATAATATGATTAAACTGATTCCCAGCTTTCTAGCAGGTATGAACAATAAAAATCTGTATATTGACACAAGGCAGACTTGAGGTGAGGAAGTAATTATTAGATTTCTTAGGAAACATTCTCTGCGAATTCACCAGTTCTTTATTAACAATAAGTACCTGGTTTGGAATTTCATTATGTTATGGAAACCTCAGGTGGCGTAGTAATGTGAAGATCTGGTATTATAACATTAGTGTGATACAGTGCTATTTACTTGTGTTCTATCTTTTCCTGTTTCTAAGTCAAAATTCCACTCGCTATGTGCCTTTTTGCCACACAAGTGTCAGGAGAATCTTATTTCTGTCAGTTTGAATCGAGTGAGGTGATCAGGAGGCCAAAGAGAGGGAAAAATCTAATTTGAGAACTGCACACTGAATCATTTACCACGTAATGCTTCCCTGGAGTGGATATGCCTCTAGAACAGAGAATAAATATTAACAATCATTTATATTTGCAGAAAACGTATAAATCGAACTGCTTTTGTGTTTCTTTCTTCTAAGGGAAGTACTCATCAAAACTGTGGGGTCGTAAAAAGAGTATTGTGTCCTAATTTAACTTAATTAACTAGGAAATGATTGCTAATAGAGTTTAATCTACATGATTAAGGGTACATAGCTAGTAAAGATGAGGCTAAACCCAGGCCAGAAACAGTGCCTCTGTTTTGCCTACTGTAAAAACTATACTGATACTATATGTGTGGGTGGGCTGTGTGTGGGTGTGTGTGGCCTGTGTGTGTATACATTTTTCTTGTACTCAGTGTCAGAATTGCTAACATCGGTATAGCTTATATATTCTTTAATAACGATGAATGCTGCTAAGTATATTACCAGGGTCTGCACCCCAGCTGTATTTTAACCACCTCTGTGAGAATTTAAATTATATGGGAAAAGCATCTTTAGGGCACTTCAGAAGGCAATTCAACACAAATCTGTTGAATAGCTGCTCTTGTAGCTGGCACCATGTTAAGGATTGTCACTATTAGAGCAGAGATATTAAAAATATTTAAGGAATTTACACTCTCACTAGAACCAATAACTAAAAAATAAGAATCAGAAAATAAGCACAGACACATAACGAAGAAATAATGAAAAAACAAGGGAAGACAAAATGCTACTAAGTGTCAAATGTGAGGCAGAGGAGGAAGAAATGGTAAACGCAGAAATCAGTGCGAAGTATGTATGACCTGTGCACGCACGATATTCAGCAACAGCCAAGCGTGATAAAGATAATTTCTATGAATCTTGTGAAGGGGGGAGTGTAAGAATCATATTAAATGGGTCGTTATTTACTCTCAGGGATCAGAGACGTTTCCTAAACAGAGTGGTGTTTAACCGCAACCTGTCATGAGAACAGAAGGGGCTGGAGAAGGGAGTGAGTCTTAGAGAGAGGGAGTAGCACACTCCTGTTACCTGGGAATTTGAAGGCTCAAAAACAGCAAAGAAATAATCTGTCAGGAACCAAGAGTGAAGGAGAGGAGTGAAGGTGGAGAAGCCCAGTGCTGGCCAACATGAGGTCGTGCTAGGATTTTATTCTAATATAAGTGAGAATCTGAAGAGGTTTTTTTCTCAAAGCAGGGCCCTAGCTTTTACCTTTCCTTCTGCCAGCATGGCCTTTCTTCAGCATGACTTTGATGCAGTTGCACCCTCCACACAGTCCTTCAGACTAGGGTTTTGCTTGGTGGAGACCTGGGTGATGCAGTAGCTCAGGTGGGGAAGAGAAAAGCGGACTGAGATCAGCTTCTCCATCTCCTTGGAGGCCACAAGCAGGAAATTCAGCACTTGGCCAGGGAAAGGGGTCCAGTTTTGGATGCGTTATTTTTAGATGTCTGCAAGATGTTCAAATGAACTTATCTAATTGGCATCTTACAGGTTCATGAGGTAGACATGAGCTGGAAATAGAGAGCTTTGAAGTTATTACCTTATGAATCCATGTCCATGCCTGGGGGAAAAATTAATTTGCAAAGAGAGAGTATGTGCAGAAAGCAGACCTGATGTCCTGAGACCAACCCTCCAGGACACCTGCCTCTCAAGGGCAAGCAGAAGACAAGAGGCAAAATAGTGGCCAGGGAGTCAGGGGGCTCCCGGGATGATCATGAAAACCTAGACGAAAGAGGGTTGTAAGGCGGAAAGGCAGTAGCACCACAGTTCTGCAAGGGGCCGTTTAAGAGAACCACCCGGCCGGGCACAGTGGCTCACACCTGTAATCCCAGCACTGTGGGAGGCTGAGGCGGGTGGATCACCTGAGACTAGGAGATTGAGACCAGCCTGGCTAACATGGCAAAACCCCATTTCTATGAAAAATACAAAAATTAGCCGGGCATGGTGGTAGGCACCTGTAATCCCAGCTACTTGGGAGGCTGAGGCAGGAGAATCACTTGAACCCAGGAGGCAGAGGTTGCAGTGAGCCGAGATCATGCCATTGCATTCCAGCCTGGTGGCAGAGTGAGACTCCCTCTCAAAAAAAAAAAAAAAAAAAAAAAAGCCAGGCATGGTGGCAAGCATCTGTAATCCCAGCTACTCAGGAGGCTAAGGCAGGAGAACCGCTTGAACCCAGGAGGCAGAGTTTGCAGTGAGCTGAGATTATACCACTGCACTCCAGCCTGGGCGAAAGAGTGAGACACTGTCTTAAAAAAAATCAAAAAAAAAAAAAAAGGACCACCCTCAGATGAATTGGTTGAGGTGCATGGTATTTATGACAGTGACAAGAGCAGTAATCACAGAGTGATGAGTGTAGAAACACAAAACCAGCTGGGTTGTGGAATAACTTAGAGGTCAAGAAATGCAGACAGCCAACATAGACTAAGGTATAAAATTTTGCTCTAAAAGGAGAAGACAAACAAGCTGACACTCATATGTGAACGATGGTAGTTTTAGGTATTATTTTTAAATGTCAGAGACTTGAGCATATTTACATACAAGAAGCAAGAAGCCAGAGAGAGGGAAGGGTGAAAATCAGGAGAGAAAGAGGCTTCCACCCAGAGGTCGTCCCGCGGCAGCCAGCGGGAATGTCTGCTGGAGGACCACCACTGCCTGGGAGAGGGGTCAGAATTCCCAGGTAACAGGAGTGAGAAACAGTGGCTCACTGCTAGCTTGCATGACCGTTGGAAGGAAGTGAAGGGAAACCCCCTGATAGCTTTGCGTCTCACAAGGCGTGATATCCCACTGGGTCATATCCCACAAGATCATCTATCGCGTACGAAAGGGGTGTTGATGCATTGGAAGATTTGAAATACAAAGGTGCGTTGGAGCAAGGCTTCGCTGCAACAATAGATGATGGCAGTTGAGCAGTTGCGTGGTTGGTGGCCGTGCATGTACACTGGTAAACAAGCTGCCAGGCGTGAGGTTTCCTCAGGAGCTCTCCGGAGTCCAGAGGAGAGAATCCAGGCAGATGCTGGGCCAGGGAGCTTCCAGCACAAGGGAATGTAACACACTGGTAAGAGACTTTGAGGATGGCATCGCTGCTGATAGGAAAGAAATGTGTCCCGGCAAAAGCAAAGAGCCAACATACAGTGAGGAAGCAGGGATGGAAAGAGAAGCAGCAGTATAGAGTAACGGGCTGACATCTGATGTTTTGGGTTACCCGGTGGGTGGGGCACACTACATGCCTCCCACAGCAGCTGATGGGAGTGGAGCGGGGAGACCAAGGGGTGCAGAGGCCGGGGCTGATGTCACCCAGCTGGGCCAACCATTGACGGGATGTGCAGGACCCTGGCAGGGCCATAGGGACCTGCATAGAGTCCTAACTCACTGGGGTGGGAGATCAAAGGGCAGCAGAGGGCAGAGCCTCAGAAATGAGGATTATGCCAGAGGGGAACAGGATTCCATGAAGACAGGGTCATTGCCCTGTGTGGGCTCAGTTGCCTCTGTCTGCCCTTCCTGGTAGTTTTATGAGGGACGGGCCAATCTTTGCCTTCCACAGCATTGATCTCCAATGCCCATGGGGTACTCAGGGCACAATAGGAAGAGACGGGATATTTGTAGGTGAATGTATGAACTGATATCTGAATGAATGAATGAATGAATGAGTGAATATCGAATGGTAAGTTTGTTGCTTCAGAATGATTACACTAGTGCCATCATGCACACAATGAGGCCAGGGCGACTTTCTCCCATCAGGGTGTGGTCAGATGGTTCATTTCCTATTTTTTTTTTTTTTTTTTTTTTTTTGAGACGGAGTTTTGCTCTGTCACCCAGGCTGGAGCGTGATCTCAGCTCACTGCAAGCTCCGCCTCCGAGGTTCACACCATTCTCCTGCCTCAACCTCCCGAGTAACTGGGACTACAGGTGCCCGCCACCACGCCCAGCTGATTTTTTTGTATTTTTAGTAGAGACAGGGTTTCACCGTGTTAGCCAGGATGGTCTCAATTTCCTGACCTCATCCGCCCACCTCGGCCTCCTAAAGTGCTGGGATTACAGGCGTGAGCCACCGTGCCAGGCCCAGATGGTTCATTTTAATGTTTGTCTTGGTGACTGGCATTTTTTGTGTTCTCATTACTGAAACAATTTATTTCCGAATAACATGTTTTTAAAGACATTGTGATAATCCAGTGAATTAAATGTGGACCATTTCTTTCTCCATGGGGTACTGTTGTCTACCTCTGCCTACCTACTCCTGTGTTGATTGGGAGTTTGAGACTTATCAGAAAATTTTATGCCCAGGGTCCTGGGGGACAGTGGGGCCTGAAATGACTGTTGCCTGAGGTATGGACAAACACCCTTCCAACATGAGCTGGATTCATATTAGCAGAAAGGTGGCCATAAGTGATATTCCAGCTAGTATTTTTTATAGAAAGAAGCTGATATTCTATTGAGTAATAAGTATTAAACCTCCATCCTCAAGAATAGGAGAAGTGCCATTTTACATGTCTTGATTCTCTCCTTCGATTTGTAATCAATCTCGCTAATGTTAGAGAAAATGAATCAGAGCTAAAATCCTGTCATCCCCCAGTATACAAGACTTAGAACTTCAGCTAAACCAGCATCTTACTTTCAATCAATTCAACACGCATTCTTCGTATCTGTGTCATGGACCAGGTGTCCACGGGACGGAAAGCTGAATGCAGCTGTCTTTGGGCCTATGCTGTTCACAATCTATGATCCTAAGTGGTCAATCATAAAAATGTGCGGCCAGTTCTCTGCCAGTCCCATGAGGAAGATGCCGAGAGCAGAGGGGAGCGATGGCTCCAGCTACGCTTGTCTTGTGCTGCCCTTCATAGGCAGAGAAACTTGGACCATCAACCACACAGGCTTACGGCTGGTTTTCTCCCATAAAACAGTCCCAGCCTGTTCTGCCATGGGCAGCACCAAAGGCCTCTCCTGTAATAAACAACAAATGATGTTTTAAAATGAAAATGCACCTATTAAGTTATCTTTCAATAAAGTAGGGAGAGGTGTCATGTAGCTGTTACATTACTACCACTATTTACGGAGAAATCAATCTCGCAAAACCTGAGAATGAAACATGGTTGCAGAGCCATTTTTCCCTGGGACTGGGGGAGCTGACAGTGCCACACTGAGCGTTTATTTAACCCCCAGAGTAAAGGTCAGCTTTGTGTGCTGAACTCCATTTTCGTGAGTTTTATGCATGATTAAATGGTAATTAAGCTTTAATGAAAAGTGTCAGGCTGATTACAATTAACATAATTGCAGTAGTCAGTTCATGTCCTTCTGTTTTACATGCTGTGCAGAGCTGGCAGGACAGTGGACCTTTAATGGGGTTTGGATATCTCATGAGCCTCTAAAGCTCCTTTTTCTAGTGGAGAAAATTTAGTCTTCCATAAAGTGAAGGTAAACGCACATAAAGCAAAGTTTAGGTCACAACCCTACTCCATTGATGGCCATCAACATGCACGTAGACATGAAGCATGGAAGATGAGCAAGGACTTTCTCTAACCTCTTCTTTTTTTTTTTTTTTTTTTTTGAGATGGAGTCTTGCTCTGTTGCCCAGGGCGAAGTACAGTGGCACTGTCTTGGCCCACTGCAACCTCTGCCTCCCGGGTTCAAGCGATTCTCCTACCTCAGACTCCCAAGTAGCTGGGATTACAGGCACATGCCACCATGCCTTGCTAATTTTTTTATCTTTTTATTTTTAGTAGAGATGGGGTATCACCATGTTGGCCAGGCTGGCCTTGAACTCCTGACCTTGTGATCCGTCTGCCTTGGCCTCCCAAAGTCCTGGGATTACAGGCATGAGCCACTGCACCTGGCCTTTCCATCCTCTTACTAGACAGTTGTTGCTGCCTCAAGATTATTTTAAAGCAGTGAAAAAAAATGATCAGTTTTAATGAAGAAAATTTACCAGGTGATAGATTAAAAACTATGGTTACTTAAAAAATGACCATTGAACTTCATAAAACTATTCTGCCTGATTTCCAACTGGTATCAAAATTTTAAGTGATCAAGAGTAAAAGAACTTTATCAAGAATTATAACACTTAACAGGTCGACACAGATGCAGCCCTTTTATTATATAGGTATAATGTGTTCTTTACTCATCAAAGCAAGTCTACAGTATCAAGTACTTCTGATAATAAACATACAAAACCATTTACTTTAAACTATTTATCAACAGTGGATGTAAAATAATCCAGAGGGGAAGGAACTTTGCTATTTGTATTAGTCTGTTTTCATGCTGCTGATAAAGACATACCCAAGACTGGGTAATTTATAAAGAAAAGAGTTTTAATTGACTCACAGTTTCACATGGCTGGGGAGGCCTCACAATTATGGCAGAAGGTAAGCAGGAGCAAGTCACATCTTTTTTTCTTTTTTTTTTTAATTTTTTATTTATTATTATTATACTGTAAGTTTTAGGGTACATGTGCACAACGTACAGGTTAGTTACATATGTATACATGTGCCATGCTGGTGCGCTGCACCCACTAACTTGTCATCTAGCAATAGGTATATCTCCCAATGCTGTCCTTCCCCCCTCCCCCCACCCCACAACAGTCCCCAGAGTGTGATGTTCCCCTTCCTGTGTTCACGTGTTCTCATTGTTCAGTTCCCACCTTTGAGTGAGAATATGCGGTGTTTGGTTTTTTGTTCTTGCGATAGTTTACTGAGAATGATGATTTCCAATTTCTTCCATGTCCCTACAAAGCACATGAACTCATCATTTTTTAAGGCTGCATAGTATTCCATGGTGTATATGTGCCACATTTTCTTAATCCAGTCTATCATTGTTGGACATTTGGGTTGGTTCCAAGTCTTTGCTATTGTGAATAATGCCACAATAAACATACGTGTACATGTGTCTTTATAGCAGCATGATTTATATTCCTTTGGGTATATACCCAGTAATGGGATGGCTGGGTCAAATGGTATTTCTAGTTCTAGATCCCTGACGAATGTCCACACTGACTTCCACAATGGTTGAACTAGTTTATAGTCCCAGCAACAGTGTAAAAGTGTTCCTATTTCTCCACATCCTCTCCAGCACCTGTTGTTTCCTCACTTTTTAATGATTGCCATTCCAACTGGTGTGAGATGGTATCTCATTGTGGTTTTCAATTTGCATTTCTCTGATAGCCAGTGATGATGAGCATTTTTTCATGTGTTTTTTGGCTGCATAAATGTCTTCTTTTGAGAAGTGTCTGTTCATGTCCTTTGCCCACTTTTTGATGGGGTTGTTTGTTTTTTTCTTGTAAATTTGTTTGAGTTCATTATAGATTGTGGATATTAGCCCTTTGTCAGATGAGTAGGTTGTGAAAATTTTCTCCCATTTTGTAGGTTGCCTGTTCACTCTGATGGTAGTTTCTTTTGCTGTGCAGAAGCTCTTCAGTTTAATTAGATCCCATTTGTCAATTTTGGCTTTTGTTGCCTTTGCTTTTTGTGTTTGAGACATGCAGTCCTTGCCCATGCCTATGTCCTGAATGGTAATGCCTAGGTTTTCTTCTAGGGTTTTTATGGTTTTAGGTCTAATGTTTAAGTCTTTAATCCATCTTGAATTGATTTTTGTATAAGGTGTAAGGAAGGGATCCAGTTTCAGCTTTCTGCATATGGTTAGCCAGTTTTCCCAGCACCATTTATTAAATAGGGAATGCTTTCCCCATTGCTTGTTTTACTCAGGTTTGTCAAAGATCAGATAGTTGTAGATATGCGGCGTTATTTCTGAGGGCTCTGTTCTATTCCATTGATCTATATCTCTGTTTTGGTACCAGTACCATGCTGTTTTGGTTACGGTAGCCTTGTAGCATAGTTTGAAGTCAGGTAGTCTGATGCCTCCAGCTTTGTTCTTTTGGCTCAGGACTGACTTGGCAATGTGGGCTCCTTTTTGGTTCCATATGAACTTTAAAGTAGTTTTTTCCAATTCTGGGAAGAAAGTCATTGGTAACTTGAAGGGGATGGCATTGAATCTGTAAATTACTTTGGGCAGTATGGCCATTTTCACGATATTGATTCTTCCTACCCATGAGCATGGAATGTTCTTCCATTTGTTTGTATCTTCTTTTATTTCCTTGAGCAGTGGTTTGTAGTTCTCCTTGAAGAGGTCCTTCACATCCCTTGTAAGTTGGATTCCTAGGTATTTTATTCTCTTCGAAGCAATTGTGAATGGGAGTTCACTCCTGATTTGGCTCTCTGTTTGTCTGTTGTTGGTGTATAAGAATGCTTGTGATTTTTGTACATTGATTTTGTATCCTGAGACTTTGCTGAAGTTGCTTATCAGCTTAAGGAGATTTTGGGCTGAGACAGTGGGGTTTTCCAGATATACAATCATGTCGTCTGCAAACAGGGACAATTTGACTTCCTCTTTTCCTAATTGAATACCCTTTATTTCCTTCTCCTGCCTAATTGCCCTGGCCAGAACTTCCAACACTATGTTGAATAGGAGTGGTGAGAGAGGGCATCCCTGTCTTGTGCCAGTCTTCAAAGGGAATGCTTCTAGTTTTTGCCCATTCGGTATGATATTGGCTGTGGGTTTGTTATAGATAGCTCTTATTATTTTGAGATACGTCCCATCAATACCTTATTTATTGAGAGTTTTTAGTATGAAAGGTTGTTGAATTTTGTCAAAGGCCTTTTCTGCGTCTATTGAGATAATCATGTGGTTTTTGTCTTTGGTTCTGTTTATATGCTGGATTACATTTATAGATTTGCGTATATTGAACTAGCCTTGCATCCCAGGGATGAAGCCCACTTGATCATGGTGGATAAGCTTTTTGATGTGCTGCTGGATTCGGTTTGCCAGTATTTTATTGAGGATTTTTACATCAATGTTCATCAAGGATATTGGTCTAAAATTCTCTTTTTTGGTTGTGTCTCTGCCAGGCTTTGGTATCAGGATGATGCTGGCCTCATAAAATGAGTTAGGGAGGATTCCCTCTTTTTCTATTGATTGGAATAGTTTCAGAAGGAATGGTACAAATTCCTCCTTGTACCTCTGGTAGAATTCGGTTGTGAGTCCATCTGGTCCTGCACTCTTTTTCGTTGGTAAGCTATTGATTATTGCCACAATTTCAGCTCCTGTTTTTGGTCTATTCAGAGATTCAACTTCTTCCTGGTTTAGTCTTGGGAGAGTGTATGTGTCCAGGAATTTATCCATTTCTTCTAGATTTTCTAGTTTATTTGCATAGAGGTGTTTGTAGTATTCTCTGATGGCAGTTCGTATTTCTGTGGGATTGGTGGTGATATCCCCTTTATCATTTTTATTGTATCTATTTGATTCCTCTCTGTTTTTTTCTTAGTCTTGCTAGTGGTCTACCAATTTTGTGGATCCTTTCAAAAAACCAGCTCCTGGATTCGTTAATTTTTTGAAGGGTTTTTTGTGTCTCTATTTCCTTCAGTTCTACTCTGATTTTAGTTATTTCTTGCCTTCTGCTAGCTTTTGAATGTGTTTGCTCTTGCTTTTCTAGTTCTTTTAATTGTGATGTTAGGGTGTCAATTTTGGATCTTTCCTGCTTTCTCTTGTGGGCATTTAGTGCTATAAATTTCCCTCTACACACTGCTTTGAATGTGTCCCAGAGACTCTGGTATGTTGTGTCTTTGTTCTCGTTGGTTTCAAAGAACATCTTTATTTCTGCCTTCATTTCGTTATGTACCCAGTAGTCATTCAGGAGCAGGTTGTTCAGTTTCCATGTAGTTGAGCGGTTTTGAGTGAGATTCTTAATCCTGAGTTCTAGTTTGATTGCACTGTGGTCTGAGAGACAGTTTGTTACAATTTCTGTTCTTTTATATTTGCTGAGGAGTGCTTTACTTCCAACTATGTGGTCAATTTTGGAGTAGGTGTGGTGTGGTGCTGAAAAAAATGTATATTCTGTTGATTTGGGGTGGAGAGTTCTGTAGATGTCTATTAGGTCCGCTTGGTGCAGAGCTGAGTTAAGTTCCTGGGTATGCTTGTTGACTTTCTGTCTTGTTGATCTGTCTAAAGTTGACAGTGGGGTGTTAAAGTCTCCCATTATTAATGTGTGGGAGTCTAAGTCTCTTTGTAGGTCACTCAGGACTTGCTTTATGAATCTGGGTGCTCCTGTATTGGGTGCATATATATTTAGGATAGTTAGCCCTTCTTGTTGAATTGATCCCTTTACCATTATGTAATGGCCTTCTTTGTCTCTTTTGATCTTTGTTGGTTTAAAGTCTGTTTTATGAGAGACTAGGATTGCAACCCCTGCCTTTTTTTGTTTTCCATTTGCTTGGTAGATCTTCCTCCATCCTTTCATTTTGAGCCTATGTGTGTCTGTACCCGTGAGATGTGTTTCCTGAATAGTGCACACTGATGGGTCTTGACTCTGTGTCCAGTTTGCCAGTCTGTGTCTTTTAATTGGTGCATTTAGTCCATTTACATTTAAAGTTAATATTGTTATGTGTGAATTTGATCCTGTCATTATGATGTTAGCTGGTTATTTTGCTCGTTAGTTGATGCAGTTTCTTCCTAGCCTTGATGGTCTTTACAATTTGGCATGATTTTGCCGTGCCTGGTACCTTTTGTTCCTTTCCATGTTTAGCGCTTCCTTCAGGAGCTCTGTTAGTGAAGGCCTGGTAGTGACAAAATCTCTCAGCATTTGCTTGTCTGTAAAGTATTTTATTTCTCCTTCACTTATGAAGCTTAGTTTGGCTGGATATGAAATTCTGGGTTGAAAATTCTTTTCTTTAAGAATGTTGAATATTGGCCACCGCTCTCTTCTGGCTTGTAGAGTTTCTGTCAAGAGATCTGCTGTTAGTCTGATGGGCTTCCCTTTGAGGGTAACCCAACCTTTCTCTCTGGCTGCCCTTAACATTTTTTCCTTCATTTCACCTTTGGTGAATCTGACAATTATGTGTCTTGGTGTTGCTCTTCTCGAGGAGTATCTTTGTGGCATTCTCTGTATTTCCTGAATGTGAATGTTGACCTGCCTTGCTAGATTGGGGAAGTTCTCCTGGATAATATCCTGCAGAGTGTTTTCCTACTTGGTTCCATTGTCCCTGTCTCTTTCAGGTACGACAATCAGACGTAGATTCAGTCTTTTCACATAGTCCCATATTTCTTGGAGGCTTTGCTCGTTTCTTTTTATTCTTTTTTCTCTAAACTTCCCTTCTCGCTTCATTTCATTCATTTCATCTTCCATCACTGATACCATTTCTTCCAGTTGATCGCATCGGCTCCTGAGGCTTCTGCATTCTTCACGTAGTTCTGGAGCTTTGGTTTTCAGCTCCATCAGCTCCTTTAAGCACTTCTCTGTATTGGTTATTCTAGTTATACATTCTTCTAAACTTTTTTCATAGTTTTCAACTTCTTTGCCTTTGGTTTGAATGTCCTCCTGTAGCTCAGAGTAATTTGATTGTCTGAAGCCTTCTTCTCTCAGCTTGTCAAACTCTTTCTCTGTTCAGCTTTGTTCCGTTGCTGGTGAGGAACTGTGTTCCTTTGGAGGAGGAGAGGCACTCTGCTTTTTAGAGTTTCCAGTTTTTCTGCTCTGTTTTTTCCCCATCTTTGTGGTTTTATCTACTTTTGGTCTTTGATGCTGTTGATGTACAGATGGGTTTTTGGTGTGGATGTCATTTCTGTTTGTTAGTTTTCCTTCTAACAGTCAGGACCTTCAGATGCAGGTCTGTTGGAGTACTCGGCCGTGTGAGGTGTCAGTCTACCCCTGCTGGGAGGTGCCTCTCAGTTAGGCTTCTTGGGGGTCAGGGACCCACTTGAGGAGGCAGTCTTCCTGTTGTCAGATCTCCAGCTGCATGCTGGGAGAACCACTGCTCTCTTCAAAGCTCAGATGGAAATGCAGAAATCACCCATCTTCTGTGTCGTTCACGCTGGGAGCTGTAGACCGGAGCTGTTCCTATTCGTTCATCTTGGCTTCTCCGACTGCAAGTCACATCTTACATGGTGGCAGAGAAGAGAGAGCTTGTGCAGGGAAACTCCCATTTATAAAACCATGAGATCTCATGAGTCTTATTCACTATCATGAGAACAGCAGAAGAAAGACCTGCTCCCATGATTCGATTACCTCCCACTGGGTCCCTCCCATGATACGTGGGAATTGTGGGAGCTACAATTCAAGATAAGTTTTGGGTGGGGACACAGCCAAACCGTATCATTATTAAAATAGCAGTTACATATTTATTAAAGGCTTTACTATGAAAATTTTGAATTAAGCTCAGCTCAATTACAAAGCATATTGTTTACAGTAGATGAAGAGGTATTCATTATGCAAAGTCATACTAATATTTTCAACATTTATGCACGTGGAAAATTTTCACGCATATCTAATTAGCAGACACTTGTTGGATATTGATTATATGTCATGTTCTAGGAAAACAAAGACCATCTGCCCTCAAGTAACTTAATCCACTGTATTAATAAAATGGTAACCCACAATGGGCTAAGCACTATTATAGAAGTATAAACATTGTGTTTGGGGACTGGAAGTGACAATGTGATTGTCTTCGCTAAAGAAACCTTTGAATGTGAGATAGGCACACTGGAATTTCTTGTGCAACAAGGCGGGGAAGGTCAGTCCAGTGTGTAACAGGAACACACATCCAAGCTGAGAGAGGCTAGCATCTGAGTAGAGGTTTCTGTAGGCTTTGCCAGAGTGGAGGATGGTGATTGAGGATGATGTTGAAAATTGCTTAGGGGAAGTTTTCAGAGGGTTTTGTGGCCTTATTTTTGGCAGTGGGGAGAATGAGAAGTCACCCTGGCTGAGATGAGAAGATAGGGGAGAGTTCTAAGCAGAAGTGAGGCGTTGCCCACGTTGCTGCGGAAAAGGTTCACCTGGGTGCCTGTGCGCAGGTGGGCCAGAAAGTACGCAGGTGCATGAAGAAGGAAGCCCGTGAGCAAGGCAGGGCAGCTCAGACCCCCAGCGGCGTAGACCAAGGCGGCAGGGCACAGGTTGGGAGAATTGGATTTTGGATCTATTTTGAATAGGGACTCCACTGAATGCATTGTTGGATTCTCTGTGTGGTGTGAGATCTACAGAGGTCTAAAAATGGCTCCAAAAGTTTCATCCTGACAGCCTGAGCCACTGGCAGGATGGAGTTGACTTTACCAAAACCGGGAAGATGTCAAGGGGCCCAGGATTGGGAAAAGCATGAACAAGGACTGTGGTTGAGTTTCAGGTGTTGAGTTGCCTCTCTGCATCTCTGCAGCAAAGCAGAGACATCAAGAAGGCAGGTGGACACTCAGGGGAGAAGCCTGGGAGGCTGGCTGGTGTTTCCTTAGGAGTACCAGAATTGGACATTTATTAACTAGTAATGGGATTGGGGGGATGAATTATGTCCAAGGGTTACATTAAACCACATGGAATTGCCAACATTCCATCATTTCTTCCCTACAAAAGTGACAATTTTATACAGTTCAAATTGGTACACATGAAAAGCTGAGTAAAAGAAAAGTAAGCAAGCGTCATTTCTGCAGAAACCTTCGTGGGTATCTTAATGTTTGTTGCTTCTTAAAAAATATATGGATAGAGAAGAAAGGGAGACCCAAGGACAAGCCCTCCTGGCATCTGATCTTTAGAGTTTCAAGGGAAAAAATATATGAATCAGCCAAAGAGCCAATGATAGAGTGACCCTTGGAATAAGGAGGAACAAGAGAGAATAATAAGATGAAAAACAACTGAAGAAAGAGTTTCCAGAAGAGAGAGTCAAATAAGTGTTTAAAAAGCTCCAATGTAACATGGAATTACAAGATAGAGAGGTAGTGCAACCCTGATGTTAAATTATTTTTTAAAATGTACTTCAAAGTGTGCTTGGGAAAAATATAGTAATTCAAATGTGTCCAAGAAAACAAATATTCACATAACTATTTTCTCTCCAATAATTTAATCACACCTCTAATGCTTATTTCACATGTTACTGACATAGAATCAAGTAAAAATAGCCTACTAAGAAATCTCATTTAATACAATTGAATAAATGTCATTTTTGCTTGGAAACAATGGCCACACTTAAAACATCAATCATATGAGGAAAACATTTCTTTTTGAGTTCTATTTAAAAATTTTTAAAATCATAACTAATTCCAATGTTTTAAATTATAAAATTAGCATGGTTTATGAATCACAACACAATCTAATTTATAGGTAAAGTTCCTCGTTTTTTTTTTGGTCCCAGGTTCATAAAGACAAAAAAATGAGAGATTTCCATCTTCCCACCCATCCTCCCACCTACAAAAGAGTAGTGATGGCTTCTTGGGTGTGATGGACAGGCTGTTTTGCACTTTGTGAAGAGTTTCCCACCTTTGGTTTGGAAAGACACCAGCTTGATTTAGTTTCATGGCTGGATTCGCCAGTGAGGGGACGAATGTGGGTGGAGTGAGAGGGACATAACAGCCCAGTTTCTTCCTGCAGTGAAGCAGGGTAACTGGGTCAGTTTCTTAATTACGACTGAGGGGTTATAGGAACCTTCTTTTCTAAAACTAGAAAACCAGGACATGATTTATTCCAGGTGTAGGAGTCAAATGTTTATCAGGTTCTCAGGGAGATGGAGACTGGTGCCCGATTCTCACTGGTTCCCAGAAGTGGCAAGCTACATTTTGTGGAGAGTAGCTGAATGACTGGCTTTGGGGTGGTCAGACCAGCGTCTTCGTGTTCCAGCCTGAGATCCTTAGAGAGAAACACATGACATGAATTACTGTGGCCGCCCAGACCGTTGGCCCCCAAATGAGAGCACGAGGGAATATAATGACTAGTGGAGAGGCAGGACCATGTCCCTCTCTGGACTCACCACACTGAATCATCCAGCAACTCCCTGGCCATCCAAAATTGGCAGCAGATTTTAAAAATAGACTGGTATTGGACTTCTTGTCAACTCGAATGCATGGGAGCTAGAACTGGATATAATTTGTCTTAGGAAAATGACTTTTATTTTACAGCCCTGATTGTAGTACACTCACAGGCATTTCATATGCTTGCCAAGGTCCTTTACAGAACTGTATTTTTTAAAATGCCACATGGTACGTATGACAATCCCAGTGGGATAATTTGAGAGTTTCTTGCCTAAGGTTGGGTTTGGAAATTCTAGGAAGAAGGGATTATATTAGTCTGCTCTCATGCAGCTAATAAAAACATACCTGAGACTGGGTGATTTATAAAGGAAAGAGGTTTAATTAACTCACAGTTCAGCATGGCTGGGGAGGCCTCAGGAAACTTACAATCATGGAGGAAGGTGAAGGGGAAGCAAAGCACCTTCTTTAGAGGGTGTTAGAAAGGAGAAGTGCAAGCAGGAGAAATGCCAGACCCTTATAAAACCAACAGATCTCATGAGACTTACTTATTGTCATGAGAACAGCATGGGGGAAACTGCCCTCATGATCCAACCACCTCCACCTGGTCCCACCCTTGACACATATGGATTATGAGCATTACAATTCAAGGTGAGATTTGGGTGGGGACGTAGAACCTAACCGTATCAGGAAGGTTACTTGGAATTAGTACAGAGATCCGGAAAGAGATGGTCAATGCAGCAGCTTGAGCAAAGCCGTCCGTGTTGATCTTGGGGCACATCGGCCCCCGGGGTACCTGAAGAGAGAGGTACTAGGCCTCTGTGCCCTGACATGCCCTCCTGCCCCATCTCTTCACCCATGCTGGGGCTTCTTATTGGAATAACCCAATACAGGTTTGCCTCGAGAGCCACAGAGTAGTTAAAGGAAGAGAAAGTAGTAGATTTGGGGCCAAAGGGAAAATAAATGACATCCAGCGTGGAATTATGGAAGACAGAAATGTCCTTAGAAATTGATACTCTATCCTCATTTCATAAATAAAGTAAAAATAACAGAGACAAAAGGTCAGTCTCAAAGCATTAGAGGTCAAGATAGAAACTCACATTTCCAGAGTTGTAGTCTAGACTATGCTTTTTAAATGTTGTACCACTCTAAGTTTTTATATCTTGTTTTTCCTTTCAATAAACTTCTAAAGACAATCTTGCAGAAAATCCTTCATTTAAATGCCTCAGAGTCAATGTTATATTCTAGCCCCTAAATGAGTATTTCTGAAAATTTATACCAGAATTTGGATTTATTAACTAGTGATAGGGTTGGAGGGATGGATCCTATCCAAGTGTTACGTGAAACCATGTGAAATTGTCAACATTCAATCATTTTTTACGTATAAAAATGACAATTTCATATGATTCAAACTAGTACACATGGAAAACTGAGTAAAAAATAGTAATTGTCATTTCTGTAGAAACTTTCATGGTGTCTTCATGCTTATTTCTTACTAAACACTAATAATTAATTATATGAGAAGAAACATTTCCATGATCCTCAAATAATTATAATAAAGGGTCTTCTTCTTTTTTTCTACCCAAGTTAGAAAGATGTTCTCTGAAGAGAGAATCATGAATATATAGAAAAAAAAGAAGTGATGGCCAGGTTTCAACAGTGATTGTTAAAACAGGAAGATTTTAAAAGGCCAGGAGTAAAATGAAGTACATTCTTTCCACATAATCCATGAACCCTCTTCTTAGGTATCTAGTCAGGTGAACTGAAAACTTACGTCCACACAAAAACCTGCACACAGATGTTTAGAGGCAGCTTTAGGCATAATTGCCAAAATTTTGAAGCAACCCGTATGTCCTTCAATAAGAAAATGGGTAAACAGGCTGGGCGAGGTGGCTCACGCCTGTAATCCCAGCACTTTGGGAGGCTGAGGCAGGTGGATCACCTGAGGTAAGGAGTTTGACACTAGCCTGGACAGGATAATGAAACCCTGTCTAGGCTAAAAATACAAAAAAATAGCCAGGTGTGTTGGTGCGTGCTTGTAATCCCAGCTACTCGGGAGGCTGAGGCAGGAGAATTCCTGGAACCCAGGAGGCAGAGGCTCCAGTGAGCCAAGATCATGCCACTGCACTCCAGCCTGGGCGACAAAGCAAGACTCCATCTCAAGGAAAAAAACGGGTAAATAAACTGTGGTACAACAAGTCAATAGAATATTATTCGCTGCTAAAAAGAAATGATCCGTACAGCCATGAAAAGACCTGGAGCTTGAAAGTGTCTTACTAAGTGAAAGAAGACAACATGAAAGGCCACACACTGCGTGATTCTAACTCTGTGACTTTCAGGAAAAGACAAAACTATGGAGACAGTGAAAAGAGTGATTGCTAGGAATTAGGAGGAAGGAAGGGATGAACAGGCAGAACACAGGGAATTGTTAGGGCAGGGAAATGACTGTTGGTGATGTTATTACTACAGATGCATTTTTCCAAACTCATTGATATGGTTTGGATCTGCGTCCCCACCCATGTTGAATTGTAATCCCCACTGTTGGAGGTAGTGCCTGGAGGGGTTGATTGGATCATGGGGGTAGTTTCTAATGGTTTAGTACCATCCCCCAGTGCTGTCTTCATGATAGAGTTCTCAGGAGATCTGATTGTTTAAAAGCACGTAGCACCTTCCGCTTCACTCTGTCTTTCCCCTTCCCCGGTCGTGGAAGATGTGACTGCTTCCCCTTTACCTTCTGCCATGACTGTAAGTTTCCTGAGGCCCTCCCAGCCATGCCTTCTGTACAGCCTGCTGAGTTGTGACTCAATTAAACCTCTTTTCTTGATAAATTACCCAGTCTCAGATAGTTCTTTACAGCAATATGAAGATGGAATAATATACCCATGGAATGCATAACACCAAAAGTGAACCCGGAGAAAACTGTGGATATCGGCTGATAATGATGGGTCAGTGTAGGTTCATTGATTGCAACAAATGGACCACTCTGTGGGGATGTTGACAGGGAGGAGGCTGTGTGCTGTGGACAGAGAGCACGTGGGAACTCTGTGCCTTCTACTCAATCTTACTGCCAGTGCAAAACTACTCTAAAAAAATAAAACCTGTTGAAAAAAATGCCTGGAGAATACAGAATGGAAAGAAGAGGAAAATGAACATAATCTCATAACTTTCTCAACTTTTTTGTTTTGCTAAATAAGGCCAATGAATCACAATTCTACCATCTGCTCTTGCCACCATTTCAAAAGATTAAGAAAATTTTATATCACAACAAAAAACAAGAGTGATATAATTTTGGAGTAAAGGACTTTTTTTCCCCCAAGGCAGGATAGTTGGAACACTCTTACTTTCATATTTTTTGTGAAGGACCAGTGAAAATTTTACCATGTACAAGTACTATTCCACAGGCACGTGTTTGCAAATCACTGTTCAGAGCACAGTGAAACCAGAGGTAAGAAATTGTGCAGACTATAACCAGAGGTAAGAAATTGTGCAGACTATAACCTCAATTATATTAGCAACCTTTTAAAGCATTAAACTGACCTAACTCAATTTTCTTATGTAAATCCTAAATATGACTTGTCAGTGAGCTGCCAAGAGATAAATTGAGTCTGAATGTGTTTGTGTGCAAATTCCACTTGTTTTATGATGATGGCTGACCTTGTGTGCTGCCCAATAATATGGCATCTCTCCACGGTGCCATCCGAAGGGCACTAAAAGGCTGAACTGCCACAAAATATCTCCACTCCTTCCTCCTTCGGAAACCTTTCATCAAAAATGGGCTAGACAGCAAAAATGGCAACTATCTTTAGGAGATTATAGTTCACGTGTGCAGATGTGGTTTCACACTAGTAATTCAGCAGAGGTTCCTCTGTCATATTAGCTTCTTGAAACTTTATCCCTAAGGTGGAAAAAAAATTCACGGACCGTCCTGAACCGGGAAGTTGCAAGCAGAGAATCAAAGCGTGTTTGATTAGCAGGTTGTTTGCAGAGAGACTTCATTACATAAAGAAAGTGTCAGACTGGGGCATGTAGGGAACCTGGAATCGGGGCTGGGTTAGGGGAGCCCTGAAGATAGGCTCTACATTTATGTAGAGACCCACACCTGTCTTGCATCCAAGTCTAGAAATTTACTGACTAATTGAAACCTTTAAAGTCGTACGTTTTTTTTTTTATGTAACTAAGTAGGTCCATTGCTGGTCCTGATCTTATAATGAAAAGAATTCCCTAAAACAAAATTTTCCTTTGATACTGACAGTGTTCAGAACCACTCCAAAATATGCAGTTTTGAGGAAACTGCAGAAGCAGGAAAGCCACTCCAGCCTCTACTTGCCCCTTCTGCCCTGAAGCAGGGCATAGAATAATTCTCTGGCCTTCCTTGGAAGCAGGTCATGAAACCTTCATTCCAGAAGGACACTCCCAGGATGCAGAGGAAAGGAATGAAGACATAGACACACAGGGAAGAAGCTGAGCAAAGGAGACTTAAGTTCCTCCCCGTTTATCACCACTAAATTCTATCTTTTCGTCCTCTAATCATACTTCTGCACGACTATACATTAAAACACACAATTTTCTCTCTTTCTTTGGGTCTTCATTTCTGAAGGTTCCAGTGGCATGCAAAATGCACATCAAATGAGTTTGGTTATGCATTTCTCTTAAGCTGGCTTCTGTTATCGTGGCCTCAGCCATGAACCCAGCAATGGGGGAAGAGAACTCTTCTCTGCAACATGCATTTTCCTAACTTCAAATTAGGCTCAATAAATTGCATCTGTGTAAGGAGACGCTGGTGAATATAAATGGAGGGAGATCTGTGTTCATGACAAGACTTTGATATCAAGGTAAAGAAGAAGCACGCTGTGCCACCTACTGGAGAACTGGATGGAGAAGCCAGACTTGCTGATGAAGAAGTCGCTGTCGAACTGCAGGGTGAGTGAGTTGAAGGTGCTGTGGATGTCCTCCGGAAGGGCGGAGCCACTCCACTCCTTCAGCAGGATGTCACTGTCCACCGGCCCGTCCCAGACCTTGAGGATGTCGTGAGCCATCTCCGTGTCGAAAACAATGAAATGGAGGCTGCAAGAGAGAACACAGTAGCGCTACTTGCCGTGCATCGAGCATGTCCTGACCCCATAGCTGTAAAGTAAGCAAGCTCATTTCGCTTTCACACAACCCCCACCAACATGTGCCTCGGTACTTACTGTCTGACAATGAAGGATGAGGAAAATGAGGCTCACCGAAGATAATTCAGGAGTGTAAATTAGGATAAAGCACACAGGACCTCAGTCTGTCATGGACGCAGAGAGATAGGTGAGCTAGATGCTGAGCTATCCATTTTAGGATAAAAGGATTGCTTTTGAGACTTCCAGATCTCTGTATAATTTAAGCTTTCTACGGCACACAAACCAAATATAAGCTTGGCATTGACAGATGTGTTTGAAGCAGATGGAAGGCAGCTTCGGTGCAGTCAGTGTTGTTCACGAAATGCCCCGCTAGGTGGCAGCAGCCACAGCAGGAGAAAAGAGCTTACTCCATTACGACCTTTTCTACCTGTGTCTGAATGGTCTGCTCTTGTGTTGTACTTCTTTCTAAAAATTATATTTTAAAACTTCATCATTTAAAATACCAACAGAAAGGCAAAAATGGGTAACATAAACTCCCTTCTTTATAAAATTTTACCATACTTCTATTAGACTTCCAGGTATTTTTCAGAGTGACTTAAAAATCTCTATGCCTAAGGACTCACATTCAGAGGCAGCAGGATCTATGTAGTCCTATTTAGGGCCATTGAAGCAAGAAGGGTTTAGTTGAAACACCAACAAAAATTAGCAGCCCTGAATGGGTCTGATTTACAGTTTTTTATTTCCTGCGTATTGCACACCGATTACAAGGGAGGTAAAGTCACAGTGGACGACAAACAAAAAAACTACCCACGAGTCTCAACTGCTTTGTTTTGCATATATTACATGTTTAAAGAAAACACTTATGTCACCCTGTGTAAGGTATGGAATGTGTGGTGTATTTTTAAAATAATCAAGATAAATCCTTAAATATAGAGAAAAGTATAGCAGATAGTAGATCTTTATTTTCCTACATTTTGCCCTATTTTTGTCAGAACTTTTTTTTTTTTTCTAGAGATGGGATGTCGCTCCCTCTCCTAGGCTGGAGTGCAGTGTCATGATCTTGGCTCACTGCAACCTCTACTTCCTGGGTTCAAGTGATTCTCCTGCCTCAGCCTCCCAAGAAGCTAGGACTACAAGCATGAGCTGTCATGTTCAGTTATTATTAGTATTATTATTTGTATTTATAGTAGACATGGGGTTTCACCAAGTTGACCAGGCTGGTCTTGAACTCCTCACCTCAGGTGATCCACCTGCCTCGGCCTCCCAAAGTGCTGTGATTACAGGCATGAGCCACCACGCCCAGACCAGAACTTTTTATAAAACAAAAAATCTTATACATGCAACAATTTTTTGCCTCCACTCCACCAAATCATTGGTTCTTTCTCTTATCACACACTCTGAAGTTGTAATGTAATATCCCCATTTGTGTATATATATATATATTTTATTATTATTATACTTTAAATTTTAAGGTAAATGTGCACAACGTGCAGGTTTGTTACATGTGTATACATGTGCCATGTTGGTCTGCTGCACCCATTAACTCACCATTTAACATTAGATAAATTTCCTAATGCTATCCCTCCCCACTTCCCACAACAGGCCCCAGTGTGTGATGTTCCCCTTCCTGTGTCCATGTGTTCTCACTGTTCAACTCCCACCTATGAGTGAGAACATGAGGCGTTTGGTTTTTTGTCCTTGAGATAGTTTGCTGAGAATCATGGTTTCCAGCTTCATCCATGTCCCTACAAAGGACATGAACTCATACTTCTTTATGGCTGCATAGCATTCCATGGCGTATATGTGCTACAATTTCTTAATCCAGTCTATCATTGTTGGACATTTGGGTTGGTTCCAAGTCTTTGCTATTGTGAATAGTGCCGCTATAAACATACGTGTGCATGTGTCTTTATAGCAGCATGATTTATAATCCTTTGGGTATATACCCAGTAATGGGATGGCTGGGTCAAATGGTATTTCCAGTTCTAGATCCCTGAGGAATGGCCACACTGACTTCCACAATGGTTGAACTAGTTTACAGTCCCACCAAGAGTGTGAAAGTGTTCCTATTTCTCCACATCCTCTCCAGCACCTGTTTTTTCCTGACTTGTTAATGATCGCCATTCTAACTGGTGTGAGATGGTATCTCATTGTGGTTTTGATTTGCATTTCTCTGATGGCCGGTGATAATGAGCATTTTTTCATATGTTTTTTGGCTGCATAAATGTCTTCTTTTGAGAAGTGTCTGTTCATATCCTTCACCCACTTATTGAAGGGGTTGTTTTTTTCTTGTAAATTTGTTAGAGTTCATTGTAGATTCTGGTTATTAGCCCTTTGTCAGATGAGTAGATTGCAAAAATTTTCTCCCATTCTGTAGGTTGAGTGTTGACTCTGATGGTAGTTTCTTGTGCTGTGCAGAAGCTCTTTAGTTTATTTAGATCCCATTTGTCAATTTTGGCTTTTGTTGCCATTGCTTTTGGTGTTTTAGACATGAAGTCCTTGCCCATGCCTATGTCCTGAATGGTATTGCTTAGGTTTTCTTCTAGGGTTTTTATGGTTTTAGTTCTAACATTTAAGTCTTTAATCCATCTTGAATTAATTTTTGTATAAGGTGTAAGGAAGGGATCCAGTTTCAGCTTTCTACATATGGCTAGCCAGTTTTCCCAGCACCATTTATTAAATAGGGAATGCTTTCCCCATTGCTTGTTTTTATCAGGTTTGTCAAAGATCAGATAGTTGTAGATATGCAGCATTATTTCTGAGGGCTCTGTTCTGTTCCATTGGTCTCTATCTCTGTTTTGGTTACTGTAGCCTTGTAGTACAGTTTGAAGTCAGGTAGGGTGATGCCTCCAGCTTTGTTCTTTTGGCTTAGGATTGACTTGGTGATTCGGGCTCTTTTTTGGTTCCATATGAACTTTAAAGTAGTTTTTTCTAATTCTGTGAAGAAAGTCATTGGTAACTTGAAGGGGATGGCATTGAATCTATAAATTACCTTGGGCAGTATGGCCATTTTCACAATATTGATTCTTCCTACCTATGAGCATGGAATGTTCTTCCATTTGTTTGTATCCTCTTTTATTTCCTTGAGCAGTGGTTTGTAGTTCTCCCTGAAGAGGTCCTTCACATCCCTTGTAAGTTGGATTCCTAGGTATTTTATTCTCTTTGAAGCAATTGTGAATGGGAGTTCACTCATGATTTGGCTCTCTGTTTGTCTGTTATTGGCATATGAGAATGCTTGTGATTTTTGCACATTGATTTTGTATCCTGAGACTTTGCTGAAGTTGCCCATCAGCTTAAGGAGATTTGGGGCTGAGACGATGGGGTTTTCTCCATATACAATCACGTCATCTGCCAACAGGGACAATTTGACTTCCTCTTTTCCTAATTGAATACTCTTTATTTCCTCCAGCTGCCTGATTGCCCTGGCCAGAACTTCCAACACTATGTTGAATAGGACTGGTGAGAGAGGGCATCCCTCTCTTGTGCCAGTTTGCAAAGGGAATGCTTCCAGTTTTTGCCTATTCAGTATGATATTGGCTGTGGGTTTGTCATAGATAGCTCTTATTATTTTGAGATACGTCCCATCAATACCTTATTTATTGAGAGTTTTTAGCATGAAAGGTTGTTGAATTTTGTCAAAGGCCTTTTCTGCATCTATTGAGATAATCATGTGGTTTTTGTCTTTGGTTCTGTTTATATGCTGGATTACATTTATCGATTTTCATTTGTTGAACAAGCCATGCATCCCAGGGATGAAGCCCACTTGATCATTGTGGATAAGCTTTTTGATGTATTGCTGGATTTGGTTTGCCAGTATTTTATTGAGGATTTTTGCATCGATGTTCATCAGGGATATTGGTCTAAAGTTCTCTTTTTTTGTTCTTTTTCTGCCAGGCTTTGGTATGAGGATGATGTTGGCCTCATAAAACGAGGGAGGATTCCTTCTTTTTCTATTGATTGGAATAGTTTCAGAAGGAATGGTACCAGCTCCTCCTTGTACCTCTGGTAGAATTCGGCTGTGAATCCATCTGGTCCTGGACTTTTTTTGGTTGGTAAGCTACTGATTATTGCCTCAATTTCAGACCCTGTTATTGGTCTATTCAGAGATTCAACTTCTTCCTGGTTTAGTCTTGGCAGGATGTATGTGTCGAAGAATTTATCCATTTCTTCTAGATTTTCTAGTTTATTTGCATAGAGGTGTTTATAGTATTCTCTGATGGTAGTTTGTATTTCTGTGGGATGGGTGGTGATATCCCTTTTATCATTTTTTATTGTGTCTATTTGATTCTTCTCTCTTTTCTTCTTTATTTTTCTTGATAGCAGTTTATCAATTTTGTTGATCTTTTCAAAAAACCAGCTCCTGGATTCATTGATTTTTTGAAGGGTTTTTCTCTTTTTTATATAGACTAATTCCTATAATTGTATTTCTTTTATTTTATTTTATTATTATACTTTAAGTTTTAGGGTACATGTGCACAACCTACAGGTTTGTTGCATATGTATACATGTGCCATGCTGGTGTGCTACACCCATTAACTCATCATTTAACATTAGGTATATCTCCTAATGCTATCCCTCCCCACTCCCCCTACCCCACAACAGTCCCCGGTGTGTGATGTTCCCCTTCCTGTGTCCGTGTGTTCTCATTGTTCAATTCCCACCTATGAGGGAGAACATGCGGTATTTAGTTTTTTGTCCTTGAGATAGTTTGCTGAGAATGATGGTTTCCAGCTTCATCCATGTCCCTACAAAGCACATGAACTCATCATTTTTTATGGCTGCATAGTATTCCATGGTGTATATGTGCCACATTTTCTTAATCCAGTCTATCGTTGTTGGACATTTAGGTTGGTTCCACGTCTTTGCTATTGTGAATAGTGCCGCTATAAACATACGTGTGCATGTGTCTTTATAGCAGCATGATTTATAATCCTTTGGGTATATACCCAGTAATGGGATGGCTGGGTCAAATGGTATTTCTAGTTCTAGATCCCTGAGGAATCGCCACACTGACTTCACAATGGTTGAACTAGTTTACAGTCCCACCAACAGTGTAAAAGTGTTCCTATTTCTCCATATCCTCTCCAGCACCTGTTTTTTCCTGACTTGTTAATGATCGCCATTCTAACTGGTGTGAGATGGTATCTCATTGTGGTTTTGATTTGCATTTCTCTGATGGCCGGTGATGATGAGCATTTTTTCATGTGTCTTTTGGCTGCATAAATGTCTTCTTTTGAGAAGTGTCTGTTCATATCCTTTGCCCACTTTTTGATGGGGTTGTTTGTTTTTTTCTTGAAAATTTGTTGGAGTTCATTGTAGATTCTGGATATTAGCCCTTTGTCAGATGAGGAGGTTGCAATAATTTTCTCCCATTCTGTAGGTTGCCTGTTCACTCTGATGGTAGTTTCTTTTGCTGTGCAGAAGCTCTTTAGTTTAATTAGATACCATTTGTCAGTTTTGGCTTTTGTTGCCATTGCTTTTGGCATTTTAGACATGAAGTCCTTACCCATGCCTGTGTCCTGAATGGTATTGTTTAGGTTTTCTTCTAGGGTTTTTATAGTATTAGGTCTAACATTTAAGTCTTTAATCCATCTTGAATTAATTTTTGTGTAAGGTGTAAGGAAGGGATCCAGTTTCAGCTTTCTACATATGGCTAGCCAGTTTTCCCAGCACCATTTATTAAATAGGGAATGCTTTCCCCATTGCTTGTTTTTGTCAGGTTTGTCAAAGATCAGATAGTTGTAGATATGCAGCATTATTTCTGAGGGCTCTGTTCTGTTCCATTGGTCTCTATCTCTGTTTTGGTACCAGTACCATGCTGTTTTGGTTACTGTAGCCTTGTAGTGTAGTATGAAGTCAGGTAGCGTGATGCCTCCAGCTTTGTTCTTTTGGCTTAGGATTGACTTGGTGATTTGGGCTCTTTTTTGGTTCCATATGAACTTTAAAGTAGTTTTTTCTAATTCTGTGAAGAAAGTCATTGGTAACTTGAAGGGGATGGCATTGAATCTATAAGTTACCTTGGGCGGTATGGCCATTTTCACAATATTGATTCTTCCTACCTATGAGCATGGAATGTTCTTCCATTTGTTTGTATCCTTTTATTTCCTTGAGCAGTGGTTTGTAGTTCTCCTTGAAGAGGTCCTTCACATCCCTTGTAAGTTGGATTGCTAGGTATTTTGTTCTCTTTGAAGCAATTGTGAATGGGAGTTCACTCATGATTTGGCTCTCTGTTTGTCTGTTATTGGCGTATGAGAATAGTTGTGATTTTTGCACATTGATTTTGTATCCTGAGACTTTGCTGAAGTTGCTTATCAGCTTAAGGAGATTTTGGGCTGAGACAATGGGGTTTTCTAGATATACAATCATGTCATCTGCCAACAGGGACAATTTGACTTCCTCTTTTCCTAATTGAATACTCTTTATTTCTTTCTCGTGCCTAATTGCCCTGGCCGGAACTTCCAACACTATATTGAATAGGAGTGGTGAGAGAGGGCATCCTGGTCTTGTGCCTGTTTTCAAAGGGAATGCTTCCAGTTTTTCCCATTCAGTATGATATTGGCTGTGGGTTTGTCATAGATAGCTCTTATTATTTTGAGATACGTCCCATCAACACCTAATTTTTTGAGAGTTTTTAGCATGAAGGGTTGTTGAATTTTGTCAAAGGCCTTTTCTGCATCTTTTGAGATAATCATGTGGTTTTTGTCGTTGGTTCTGTTTATATGCTAGATTACATTTATTGATTTTCGTATGTTGAAGCAGCCTTGCATCCCAGGGATGAAACCCACTTGATCATTGTGGATAAACTTTTTGATGTATTGCTGGATTCCATTTGCCAGTATTTTATTGAGGATTTTTGCATCGATGTTCATAAGGGATATTGGTCTAAAATTCTCTTTTTTTGTTGTGTCTCTGTCAGGCTTTGCTTTCAGGGTGATGCTGGCCCCATAAAATAAGTTAGGGAGGATTCCCATCTTTTTCTTTTGATTGGAATAATTGAATAAGGATTGGTAGCAGCTCCTTTTTGTACCTCTGGCAGAATTGGACTGTGAATCCATCTGGTCCTCGACTTTTTTTGGTTGGTAAGCTATTGATTATTGCCTCAATTTCAGACCCTGTTATTGGTCTATTCAGAGATTCAACTTCTTCCTGGTTTAGTCTTGGGAGGATGTATGTGTCGAGGAATTTATCCATTTTTTCTAGATATTCTAGTTTATTTGCATAGAGGTGTTTATAGTATTCTCTGATGGTAGTTTGTGTTTCTGTGGGATCGGTGGTGATATTACCTTTATCATTTTTTATTATGTCTATTTGATTCTTCTCTCTTTTCTTCTTTATTTGTCTTGCTAGTGGTTTATCAGTTTTGTTGATCTGTCCAAAAAGTCAGCTCCTGGATTCATTGACTTTTTTAAGGGTTTTTTGCGTCTCTATTTCCTTCAGTTCTGCTCCGATCTTAGTTATTTCTTGCCTTCTGCTAGCTTTTGAATGTGTTTGTTCTTGCTTTTCTAGTTCTTTTAATTGTGATGTTAGGGTGTCAATTTTAGATCTTTCCTGCTTTCTCTTGTGGGCATTTAGTGCTATAAATTTTCCTCTACACACTGCTTTGAATGTGTCCCAGAGATTCTGGTATGTTGTGTCTTTGTTCTCGTTGGTTTCAAAGAACATCTTTATTTCTGCCTTCATTTCATTATTTACTCAGTAGTCATTCAGGAGCAGGTTGTTCAGTTTCCATATAGTTGAGCAGTGTTGAATGAGTTTCTTTATCTTGAGTTCTAGTTTGATTGCACTGTGGTCTGAGAGACAGTTTGTTGTAATTTCTGTTCCTTTACATTTGCTGAGGAGTGCTTTACTTCCAACTATGTGGTCAGTTTTGGAGTAGGTGTGGTGTGGTGCTGAAAAGAATGTATATTTTGTTGATTTGGGGTGGAGAGTTCTGTAGATGTCTATTAGGTCCGCTTGGTGCAGAGCTGAGTTCAATTCCTGGGTATCCTTGTTAACTTTCTGTCTCGTTGATCTGTCTAATGTTGACAGTGGGGTGTTAAAGTCTCCCATTATTATTGTGTGGGTGTCTGAGTCTCTTTGTAGGTGTCTAAGGACTTGCTTCAAGAATCTGCGTGCTCCTGTATTGGGTACATATATATTTAGGAGAGCTAGCTTTTCTTGTTGAATTGATCCCTTTACCATTATGTAATGGCCTTCTTTGTCTCTTTTGATCTTTGTTGGTTTAAAGTCTGTTTTATCAGAGACTAGGATGGCAACCCCTGCCTTTTTTGTTTTCCATTTGCTTGGTAGATCTTCCTCCATCCTTTTATTTTGAGCCTATGTGTGTCTCTGCAAGTTAGATGGGTTTCCTGAATAGAGCACACTGATGGGTCTTGACTTTTTATGCAATTTGCCAGTCTCTGTCTTTTAATTGGAGCATTTAGCCCATTTACATTTAAGGTTAATATTGTTATGTGTGAATTTGATCCTGTCATTATGATGTTAGCTGGTTATTTTGCTCGTTAGTTGATGCAGTTTCTTCCTAGTCTCGATGGTCTTTACATTTTGGCATGATTTTGCAGTGGCTGGTACCGGTTGTTCCTTTCCATGTTTAGTGCTTCCTTCAGGAGGTCTTTTAGGGCAGGCCTGGTGGTGACAAAATCTCTCAGCATTTGCTTGTGTGTAAAGTATTTTATTTCTCCTTCACTTATGAAGCTTAGTTTGGCTGGATATGAAATTCTGGGTTGAAAATTCTTTCTTTTAAGAATGTTGAATATTGCCCCCACTCTCTTCTGGCTTGTAGAGTTTTTGCCGAGAGATCCGCTGTTGGTCTGATGGGCTTCCTTTTGTGGGTAACCGGACCTTTCTCTCTGGCTGCCTTTAACATTTTTTCCTTCATTTCAACTTTGGTGAATCTGACAATTATGTGTCTTTGAGTTGCTCTTCTCGAGGAGTATCTTTGTGGCGTTCTCTGGATTTCCTGAATTTGAATGTTGGCCTGCCTTGCTAGATTGGGGAATTTCTCCTGGTTAATATCCTGCAGAGTGTTTTCCAACTTGGTTCCATTCTCCCTGTCACTTTTAGGTACACCAATCAGACGTAGATTCGGTCTTTTCACATAGTCCCATATTTCTTGGAGGCTTTGTTTGTTTCTTTTTATTCTTTTTTTCTCTAAACTTCTCTTCTTGCTTCATTTCATTCATTTCATCTTCCATCACTGATACCTTGTCTTCCTGTTGATTGTATTGGCTACTGAGGCTTGTGCATTTGTCACGTAGTCCTCGTGCCTTGGTTTTCAGCTACATCAGGTCCTTTAAGGACTTCTGTGCATTGGTTATTCTAGTTAGCCATTCGTTTAATTTTTTTTACAAGGTTTTTAACTTCTTTGCCATGGGTTCAAACTTCCTCCTGTAGCTCAGAGTAGTTTGATCATCTGAAGCCTTCTTCTCTCAACTTGTCAAAGTCATTCTCCATCCAGCTTTGTTCCATTGCTGGTGAGGAGCTGTGTTCCTTTGGAGGAGGAGAGGTGTTCTGATTTTTAGTTTGCAGTTTTTCTGCTCTGTTTTTTCCCCATCTTTGTGGTTTTATCTACCTTTGGTCTTTGATGATGATGACGTACAGATGGGGTTTTGGTGTGGATGTCCTTTCTGTTTGTTAGTTTTCCTTCTAACAGTCAGGACCCTCAGCTGCACATCTGTTGGAGTTTGCTGGAGGTGCACTCCGGACCCTGTTTGCCTGGGTATCAGCAGCAGAGACTGCAGAACAGCAGATGTTGGTGAACAGCAAATGCTGCTGTCTGATCATTCCTCTGGAAGTTTTGTCTCAGAGTACCAGGCCGTGTGAGGTGTCTGTTGGCCCCTACTGGGGGGTGCCTCCCAGTTAGGCTACTCAGGGGTCAGGGACCCCCTTGAGGAGGCAGTCTGTCTGTTCTGAGATCTCAAGCTGTGTGCTGGGAGATCCACTACGCTCTTCAAAGCTGTCAGACAGGGACATTTAAGTCTGCAGAGGTTTCTGCTGCCTTCTGTTGGTCTGTGCCCTGCCTGCAGAGGTGGAGTCTACAGAGGCAGGCAGGCTTCCTTGAGCTGTGGTGGGCTCCACCCAGTTCAAGCTTCTGGGCCGTTTTTTTAGTCATTCAAGCCTTGGCAATGGCGGGCGCCCCTCCCCCAGCCTCGCTGCAGCCTTGCAGTTTGATCTGACTGCTGTGCTAGCAATGAGTGAGGCTCCGTGGGGGTAGGACCCTCTGAGTCATGCACGGGATATAATCTCCTGGTGTGCCGTTTGCTAAGACCATTGGAAAAGCAAGCCCAGTATTAGGGTGGGAGTGACCCGATTTTCCAGGTGCCATCTGTCACCCCTTTCTTTGACTAGGATAGGGAATTCCCTGACCCCTTGCACTTCCTGGGTGAGTTGATGCCTCCCCCTGCTTTGGCTCCCGCTTGGTGGGCTGCACCCATTGTCCTGCACCCACTTTCCGACACTCCCCAGTGAGATGTACCCGGTACCTTAGTTGGAAATGGAGAAATCGCCCGTCTTCTGCGTCATTCATGCTGGGAGCTGTAGACTGGAGCTGTTCCTATTTGGCCATCTTGGCTCCACCCATCCCATTTATATTTTTAGAAGCTTCATATGTGTGTGTATTTGTATTCCTAAACAATATATTGTACTACTCTGTGTGTTTAAGAGTAGTTACATATTAAATATTACTTGACATGTGTGTGCTTGTATCACTTTCAATTTGCTTTTATTTTATTTATTTATTTTATTTTATTTGAGATGGAGTCTTGCTTTGTTGCCCAGGTTGGAGTGCAGTGGTGTGATCTTGGCTCACTGGAAGCTCTGCCACCCGGGTTCATGCCATTCTCCTGCCTCAGCCTCCCGAGTAGCTGGGACTACAGGTGCCCACCACCACACATGGCTAATTTTTTTGTATTTTTTAGTAGACACGGGGTTTCACTGTGTTAGCCAGGAAGGTCTCGATCTCCTGACCTTGTGATCCACCCGCCTCGGCCTCCCAAAGTGCTGGGATTAGAGGTGTGAGCCACTGAGCCCAGCCTCAATTTGCTTTTGTACTATTATGGGAGAGACCGTTATACTGAAAAAAAGGTAGAACTTTGTTAATTTACTTTAAAACTGTAAGTGTTTTATTTTCGTAGTTCCTTACTAAAGGTCAGTTTGTTTCTACATTTTAATTTTGACACGTGGTACCGCACTGTATATTCCACTGTACTGATGCAAGGATCTTTCTAGGCCAGCATGATAAAGCAGATTTGCTAACTCGCTCTCCCTTGGGATTCTAACTGCTTTGGTCCAGGGTAATGTATGTATTGCCCTTGTTTTATTATATCTTTAGGAATACCTGATTACCGTCAGACTAAGAGTTCTACATATATATAGAAAATTTGATGGTTGTGGAATGGTGTCTTGTTTAAATTACTTTCCCTGATCACTCATAAAGTTGATCATCATTTTGCATCTATAAGACGTTCCCTTTTTGATTTAGTTCAATAATTCAACATTTACTCGGCACCAAGAGTGTACTGAGTGCACCTCGAGGAACTTTGCATACATCTGCCAAGTTGAGTCCTGCCTTCGTGGAGTTCGTGTTGTACAGGGAAGAGATAGGCAAACCACAGCATCCACAATAATACAGGGAAGAGACAGGCAGTCCACAGCACCCATAACAAATGAGTGAAGAATATGGAATGTTAGTAGGTGGTAAATGCAATTGAAGAAATAAAAAAGTAGACAGGAAAAGAATCACTGGGATACTAATTCTTAGGGGAGGAAGGGGAAGCCTGAAGTATTAAATGGGGTGGTTAGGCTAAGCCATCTTGGCAGAGGCAGATTTTGGTGCAGCCTTGAAGGAGTTAAGGGTGTTTGTCGCATCCTGTGAGACGTAAGAATTCAGCCAAGCAGAAGCCCCACGTAAGGGGCATACCGTCCGCATTTGAGGACAGCCAGGAGCCAGTGCAGCAAGAACAGAGGAAGGGGGACTGGGAAGGAAGAGCTGAGAGCAGAGAAGAATGGGGGTTGTGAATTGGATGGTGGGAGAGAGGTGCCTACGCACAGAGGGCTTTGTAGGCTGTTTTAAGGATGATACACCGATGCGGGATTTTAAGGATGATATACCAAGGCAGGAGTCCTCACCAACAATTTAAAGAACTGGCCGTGCTTGCTTGCTCTGTTGACAACATGCCATGGAGGGAAAATGACACTCTGTCAACGTTTTGAGTAATCCAAGAAAGTGGCGTATGTGCTGAGATGAGCTGAATATGGAGGTACCCAGGCACTGGTCAGGTCCTGGATACGTTTTGAAGGGAGAGAAAACAGGCTTGGAAGAGGTGTGCGTGAGGTGAGGATGTGCTGGCCCTGTAGGTTTGTCCCTCAGAAACTGGAAAAGTGGAGTTGTCATCCAGTGAACTGAGAAACGGTGCAGTATGTTTATGGGATGGGGAAAATCAGAGTTTCTGTCTTGGACCTGTTGAGTTTAAGTTGTCAACTAGACATAGATGGAGGGGTATGTAGGTAGCTGTTCACGTAAGTTGGAGTTTCAGAGAGAAGTCAGAGTGGAGAAAATAAACATGTATGTCTTCAACAAAGAAATAGTTTATAAACTATAGGACTGGATGAAATCTTCGAAGTTCTTAGGTGGAGAATAGAAGAGGACTATGGATTCTGAAGTACCTGGTCACATATGTTTGCCATTAAGCAGAAAGCATCCTAGAGCTGGAAATAATTCTAATAAAAAATGTGCAGGACTTTCACCCAGAAAACTGCAAAACATCATTGAGACAAATCATACAAAAGCTAAATAAATGGAGAGGTATACAATATCAAGGACCAGAAAGTTCAGTATTATAAAAGATGTCAGTTTTCCCCAGAATGATCTATTGATGTCATGGGATATCAATAAAAATCCAGGCAATTTCTTTTGTAAAAAATTAAGAGTGTTTCTGAAATTCATATGGAAGTGCAGAAGGCCAAGAATAGTCACAGTGATCTATATGAAGAAGAACAAAGCTAGATTATGATACTGGGTATCAAGATGTATTATAAAGTAAATCAGGAATTAAGTTAGGTTTTGTACTAGATAAGCAAATAGATAAATGAAATGGAATACAGTTTGGAAACAGATCTGCATAGATCTAGTTGTCTCGTTAATTACTAATTTGTACTATAGTGCAATAAAGAAATAAATCACTTCAGCAAATTGTCAATTGAACTTAACTGTGGACAAAAATCTGTGACACTTCAGTCTCCATACTGTACACAAAAATTTATCCCCAGTGGAATAGAGATGTAAATGTGAAAGGTAAATTAAGTTTTGTAGAAGAAAACCTAAGATAATATTTGTATAGCTTTGGGGAGGGAGGAGCTAGCAATCTGGACACAAAATCACTAAAGCCAACCTTAACAAAGTTTGTGGCATAGCATACATTTAAATATAGTTTAAAAATTTGCTAACCGTAAAGAAAAAAAATGAGTAAAAATTATTATGACTCATTGGAATTAAAAACCTGTGTTTATCAAAAGAAATCATTTCAGTATAAAAAAATGGGCAAAAGGCTTCAACTGGCAATTAGTAAAAGAGGATATTCAAAAGGCCAATAAACATATAAAAAAGTGTTTACCTTGATCAGTCGTCAGGGAAATGCAAATAAAAAGGTACCACACCCCCAGTAGAATGGCTAAAATGAAAAAACAATCAATCCCATTGTTGGTTAGAAAGTGAAGTTCCTGAAATTCTCTCATATACACCCTCTCAGGGAGTGAGGGTAAGAATAACCACTTTGGAAAACTGATAGCACCTAATACTGTGGAAGGTAGGATTCACCATTACCCAGCAATTCCTGGCCTCAGTGTATACCCATGGAAAAAGCATACATACATTCACCAGGTAACATGTCAAAGCATATTAAAAGCAGCACAGTTTGCATTAACTCCAAACTGCATCAGAACCATCCAAATGTCCATCAGCACCCAGAATGGATAAATAAATTATATCAGGAAATATCTAACGGTATCAATGGGTGTGAAGATTGAGGAAATGAAGTGAGACACATAATTAATAAAACTGTACAATCTCTCTCTCTCTTTTTTAGACAGAGTCTTGATCTGTTGACCAGGCTGGAGTGCAATGGAATGATCGTGGCTCACTGCAACCTCTGCCTCCCAGGCTCAAGCAATTCTTCTGCCTCAGCCTCCCGAGTAGCTGGGATTATAGGCGTGTGCCAACACAACTTGCTTATTTTTTAATTTTTAATAGAGACGGAGTTTCACCATGTTGATCAGGTTGGTCTTGAACTCCTGATCTCAGGTAATCTGCCCGCCTCAGCCTCCCAAAGTGCTAGGATTACAGGCGTAAGCCATCGTGCCCGACAATTATCTTTTACATAAAATTCAAATTTGGCAAAACTCTTCTGAAGTCTTAATAGTGATTGTCCTGGAGAAGAGACAATTTGAATAGAGCTCAAAGGTCTATCCTGAGTCCAGATAATTTTCCCTTTCTTTATCTGAGTTCTGGTTACATGGGGGTGTTTCTTTTGTGAACAAGCCACATGGCAGTTTTTATGCTATATGCTAATGAGAAGCTTACACAGAAAAACAAACATGCACCCTGGTACCATGGAGTTTTGCCATCTTGGAAAATGTCTCATGACTCCAACAAAAAATATGATACAACAAAACTTAAATGTAGGTAAGTGTCAGTCATTTTTTATTCAAATGTAAAATTGTTAAAAGTCAAAATGCCAGACACAATTCCACTAGGTAAAGGAAGTTAAAAAAAATGGAGTGAAGCCAGGTATGGTGGCTCACGCCTGTAATCCCAGTATTTTGGGAGGCCGAGGTGGGTGGATCGCCTGAGGTCAGGAGTTCGAGACCAGCCTGGCCAATATGGGGAAACCCTGTCTCTACTAAAAATATAAAAATCAGCTGGGCATGGTGGCAGACACCTGTAATCCCAGCTACTCAGGAGGCTCAGGCAGGAGCATTGCTTGAACTCTGGAGGTGGAGGTTGCAGTGAGCCAAGATCACGCTATTGCACTCCAGCCTGGGGGACAAGAGCAACACTTTGTCTCAAAAAAAAAGGAATGCAATGTGGTATCATCGCTAAGGAACTCTGTGATATCAGATACAGGCACGTGAGGAAAAGCACACATCCTCCAACGCACAGTGTCCCAAGGTCTGGCAGATAAAAGCACGCCACCATACAGCGGACATAGGTGTAATTCTGCCTCACAAAGTGTGGGAAGGCTCTTGTCCAGCCAAGAGAAAGCAGGAAAGGAATCCAGGGAAAGGAGAGAACCGGAAATGCAGGTGGGAGGTGAAGTGCACAGAGAAGAGGAAGTCACTAACCAAATGTATTCACATGTCAAAAAAGTCAACATAGGAAAGGTATAAACAGATATAACCAATAAAATGTTTGGAATATTTTTTTTCTGGACAGATTGTTAAGGACTGAAAAGCCTTTGTCCAGTTTCAGAGAGAATGTAGAGACGCCCAATTTCTATGTACTGCTGGTGGTATATCTACTCCTTTTAGAGGCAATTTGGTAATGGCTATAAAAATTGAAATGTGCAAACATAGCAAATGCAGCTCTAGAAATTCATCATGAAAAGTGCCCTGGAGGTGACACACGGGGAGGATGGTAGCATTACTTACAACAGTGAAAAAATTAAAAACAACCTGAATATTCCAAAAGGGTGTAGTTTAAATAAATTAAGGCACATTCAGGCAATGGAATACTATCCGGTAACTAAATAGGATGAGGCAAAATTACAAATTTGGATGTAAACATTTGGCCATGTTTATTAACTCAAAATAAATGTTCAGAATAACATGGCGTAAAAAATAATTAAATAAAAAGATAAATGAACATATCACATTTTATGTTTGTATTTGCATAGAAAAAATTTTAAAAAGCTATATCACCTTTTCAAGTGTAGTTTTCTTTGGTGTTTAAGATTACAGAAAACTACATTTAGGGGTTTTTTTTTCTGCAGCACTTTATTATTTTAAAATTAAGAAAAATAATTAACCATAAACCATGCCAAAGAGCTTATCCTGCACATAATGAGTGGACAAAATAGTTTTTGTTTTTATAGCAAGCTCAGGCGAGTGAAATGACTGACTCTGCTTTATAGAAAGACTTGTACTAAGACATATGAGGATGCTCACACCCTTTGACCCAGCAAACAAATTTCCTAGGCATTTATTCTAAGGAATTATATAAATATAAGCAAAGATTTACTTACAAGACTACTTGTCACATCATTATGTACAACATGAAAAATTAGAAATGGCCAGGCCTGGTGGCTCACGCTTCTAATCCCAGTGCTTTGGGAGGACGAGGCGGGCAGATCATTGGAGGTCAGGAGTTTGAGACTAGCCTGGCAACAGGGCGAAACCCCGTGTCTACTAAAAATACAAAAAAAATTAGCTGGGTGTGGTGGCACATGCATGTAATCCCAGCTACTCAGGACACTGAGGCAGGAGAATTGCTTGAACCCAGGAGGCTGAGGTTGCAGTGAGCCAGGATTGCGCCACCGCACTCCAGCCTGGACAACAGAGTGAGACTCTGTCTCAAAAAAAAAAAAAAAAAAAAAAAGAGAAAGAAAAATTAGAAATGGTATAAACAAGCAACAAGAGAGACAATGTTTAATGGTACATGTCCACACCACACAATATACATTGATACGTATAAGACATTTGCCATTGATGTCTATAGGGGAATAATACATGATTTCTTCAATTGTTTTTTTTTAATTTTTTCAAAATCTATATAGACATTAGTTTTATAGACATAAACATAAATTTTTAAAATAAAACAAACCATATTGTTTGGGGTAGGAGCAGTGGGTGCAAGGCAGCGTTTGCAGGGTGGTCAGTGGAAACCTGGTGAGTTAGGAGGGTCTACCCAGCGAAGGAACCAGGTGGTGGGCAGGGAGGAGAGTTTGGGAGGCTTCAGATGGGGTCTAAATGAGAAATGAAGCTCACAGAAGTGTGGGAGCTAGTGAAACTTGCCCTGGAGGTCTTGACATGTGGATATGATATTAACAGAGATTATTAGTACAGAAGGAAGGTAACTGATGAAGAGAAATGATGAGATCAGGGAACAACACAGAATATTTCTGGATGGGATAATAAAAATGAATTTTTGCTGAGCCCTAAGAGATGGGAAGAAACTGGAGGTGAGTCAATGAGGAGAAACTCAAGACAGTGTGTGTAAAGAGAGCACCACAGTAGCACAGGCTATGATCAGAGATCAGTCAAGCTTTCTTTGTCCTGAAGTCGAAAGTATCCATGAGCAGCCAAAGATACACCTGGAAAGCCGCACTAAGCCAAATTCTAGAGGGTATTATGGTTCTGGGTAAGGAGCTGGTGCTTGTCAACGTACAGTGAGGGTATTTGAGAGATTGGAGAGAATAAAGGATGGATTTGGGAAGGTCAGTTGAGAGAAGACTAAAGTAACAGGAAAGTCATGGGAATTCATAATGGTGGATAAGAAGAAAGGAAACATAAAGAGATGGAGAAATGACAGGGCTTTGTTTTCAGATTCTATGCACTTTTTTTTCAGTGTCTCGTCTAAAGAAATCTCATATAATTTATCAAAAGAATTCCATGAGCTGTACAGTCCTATTTTCATTGTTTTAGGTGGGAAATTATTGGATATTGAGGGAGGAGAAATAAGCAACAGCAGAGCATAACACTGAAGACTAAAGTCTCCCGCCCCTTGGAGGGAGACAGTAACACAAATAGGGAATGATGACAATAATGATGAAATAATGATGAAATGTGAGGAGTTGGGAACACGTGATGAGCTCTGAGGAGAGATGTCAGGGAAGTTTGGATCAGCTTCCACCATTTTATCTCTTGTGCTTTTCAGATCCTGAAATAACTCTAGAAGTTTCTTTAATGTTTTTTTCTGGAGTCACTTCTTCTGGAATATCTCCATCGTTCTCATCACAGCATCTCCTCCCTTACACTCCTACGTCCTTCTTGGCTGAGTTTCCCTGGCTGCCTATCTAAGGTCTCTCCGCACAGCAGTGGCAATGTTCCCACCTCAGCTATTTCTCCTGTAATTCCATTTATGTGTGATTTGAGTTTCACTTCCCATGATATCACTTCTCATTTCTTCCCTGCATGTCTATCTTTTCTGGGCAATTCCTTCTTTGCAATTCCCGTTTTTTAAGACATCAAGTGCACTGATCACTGGGAGCAAAGAAGACAACACAACTACCCTCTTTGCTGTCTGAGAATGCACTGAATAGCAGGCACCCTGTGAGCAGTCACCAGCAGATGTTGAAAGAGGAGATGTGATCTGTCACCAGTGATGATGATGTGCCTCGTTATCCATATAGTGATGTAGGAACTGAAGAGCTCAGAATTTGTCCTTCATGCACTTTCTCACAGTTTATGTACCATGGCAGCTGAAATGTGAGTGGTATGGTTGGGAGCTGGTGTTATTTAACTAATCTGTGGCAACTGAAAATATGAGTCAGAACTTTGCAAAGTGAGTGGGGTTGCAGGTTTCTTTCCTCTGACTCAGGCTCTCCTACATGTCTGGTAAGGTCACCCATGACCAGCAACTGCTCCCAGAGCCCCAGGTTAAAGGGGGTCTGGAGTAGCAGCCATAGGCATAGGGAAAAACTGTAGACTTCTATAACTCTTTTACTTCATGGCTGAAATTACTTAAATTGTTATTTCTTTGTATTGTCTATGAAAACTAAGGGAAGGGTCTATAGTGATGTTGATAGGAATGGAGAAATTGGACATGCTTTTATTCCTGAGTGGCCTCATACCTTTCTGTCCTGTCAGGAAAATTCTCCAACCCATGGTCTATGTACAGAGGCTGGACATGGAGACTGGGGATAAATGTATAGTTTTCTCTTAAGTGTATTTCCTACTGGGATCTGGAAGGTTGATCAGAAATGGATTAATATTCCTAGATCTCCAGTGCAATTTCACTCTAATCTCTCTAAAAGCTGATGCCACTAGAAAGAAAATCCAGGTCAGGACAGCCAGCAGAACACCAGGGTCGTCAAACCACATGTTACCTTTTCTAAAAGTCTGCATAGGAATGCTTTTGACAACCTTGATACCTTTTTGATATGCGTCCAATGTTTTTCATACTGTGCGAGCTTATTAAAAATAATTCCCTTCAACTATACTACCAAATGCAATTTTCTGCTAACAATTAGGAACAGAAGTACATTCAAAGTGAGCTTTCCAGACAATTACACTGGCAGAAAAGCAATTAAAGCTTAGGAACAGTGTACACATATGGTTATGTAAAACATAGCCTTTAATGTTGCTAGCTGAAGAAGTTTATAATGCTGTTACTTTTGTTACATAAAGCAAAGCATGGCTGTGCCCAGCAATGAAATATGCTGGATCTCTTAGAGAAATATTACCAAATAACTTTCAATGGGGCTAAATTTTCTACAATGTCTTGTGATTAGACTTTTAATTAAATTTGGCTCAGGTAACTGCTCTATAGCATACATGTTAAAATTAGAAATTCTTCCAGACCCAAGTGCCCCATAATAATAACTATTTTGGGGTATTGCGCCCCATTATAATAACTATTTTGGGGTATTCGATTACCTCAAACAAAGAGGAATAGCACTATATAAGCAGAAGTTGCTCTGGGCCTCAATGAAATCAATGTAGCTCTGCAATAATTGGCCTAAAGTAAAATATTGAAACCAGCCTTTTCATATTTTCCAAGATCCGGCTGTTTATTCATTCCTTGAGAGTGAAAAATATTTACATTAAGATATCATAGTATAAATGCATAGTAATGATTACATTTATATTAAGATATTTTAAAGAGCTAAATTAATCCCTGTGTTCATATTTATATGACTGATGTATTTCTCATTTTCAAGTTAACATTGTAGGTAATACAGACTATGTTACCATTGAAATAAATAAGACTTAGTAACCATGCAAGCTAATATCAAGGCTAAGACCAGACACCATTTTTTCTGAGTATTAGTACAATTTTAAGTACATGATATACAATTTTAGTATATTATGTACTTCTAATTATGGTTTTGCCAGATCACCATACTAAAAATTGCATTTATGTTATTCATGAAGAGTGGTTCAATCATCAAAAACATTTTGGGATTAAGTTGATTGTCAATTGAGGAAATTAAGGATAAACATGGATGGCTACCCTCTTAAGCTGCTTATTGGGAAGAAGTTTATGCTTTAAATTTAATAGATGTATTTATAAATTTGATAGTGTGTACCTCATATTGAAATATACGTATACGAAGAAAATTTTTCAAGGTCAGTTCATGCAATAAAAACTGCACGTTTTTATTCAAATATTTTTTTATTTTTCTCTTTTTAATTTTTTTTATTAAAATGTTAACAAAGTATTAGATTCACCTGTAAAGAGTGAATCCATGACTTGGTTTGCATTTAGAGAAAGACAATGCTCACTCTAATTAATTCCAGTAAATTAAGCCACAAAGGAAATTTTAAGAAAAACAAAAATGTGAAATTCTTCTAAAAGAAGATAAATTATTTTTATATAAAGTCATTCCATTAGCATAGATGATTTCTACAACTTTTCAAAATCAAAGCCATTGGAAGTGGTTTTTACATTACTCAAATCTAGCATTTGTGAATTCAAAGTTAAGGACTAATATTTAATTTAATTAATTTATTTACTTAAGACTGCAGTGGTGTGATCATAGCTTACTTCAGCCTTGACCAACTGGGCTCAAGACATCCTCTTGCTTCATCCCCTCAAAGAAAGTGCTGGGATGACAGGTGTGAGCCGCTATGCCTGGCCTATTTATTTCCATAGAAACATGCCTTCATAGATTTTCATGAGGAATATGAAATATTAAATTCTGTTACTCAGCTATAACTTAGTGTTGTCCCAACAGATCAATAATCATCAAATTAATCATTTATCTTGATTAATTTTAAAATGAGTTATTATAAAATAGTATGTGCTATGGTTTTACTGTCTCCACCAAAACTCATGTTGAAATTTAATTGCCATTGTAGCCATATTGAAAGTGGGAGCCCTTATGAGGTGATTAGGTCATAAGGGCTGGGCCCTCATGAAGGGATTAATGCTGTTATCATGGGAGTGGGTTAGCTATAGTGGGAGGGAGCCCCTGATAAAAGGTTAAGCTTGGCCCCATTTCCTCTCTGTCTCTAGTGTACTTCCTTGCTATGTGATGCTCTCACCATGTGGACTCATCATCTGCCAATGCCATGCCCTTGGACTTCCCATCCTCCAGAACTGTTAAGAAACTAAACTTCTTAACTTACTAAGTCTGTAATATTCTTTTTCTTGAGACACAGTCTCACTGTTGCCCAGGTTGGAGTACAGTGGCACGATCTCAGCTCACTGCAGGCTCCACCTCCTGGGTTCACACCATTCTCCTGCCTCAGCCTCCCGAGTAGCTGGGACTACAGGTGCCTGCCACCACGTGTGGCTAATTTTTTTGTATTTTTAGTAGAGAAGGGGTTTCACCATGTTAGCCAGGATGATCTTGATCTCCTCACCTGGTGATTTGCCTGCCTTGGCCTCCCAAGGTGCTGGGATTACAGGCATGAGCCACTGCACCCGGCCCCACAGTCTGTAATATTCTATTGTAGCAGCAGAAACACCATCCTAAGATGTTTGCATTCTAGATATGCTTTAATTGTTGTTCTTGCTCCTTTTATGTAGGGAGAACCTTTCTCATGTAGGGTGTATAATATGCATTTTCCTCACTCCACTTCATCCCATTTTATTTTTGTTAAGTTATAGGGTTGCAGTGAAGTAAGTGTATGATATCTATGTGTAATACACATTACTAAGCTTGATAGGGTGGCTTTTCTGAATAAGGACAAAAATCATTTGTTTATAAATATTTTTCATCCTTCCACATCTTCTGCCTCAGTATCCTGAGTAGCTGGGATTACAGGTGTGTGCCACCATGCCCAGATGCTTTTTGTATTTTTAGTGGTGATGGAGTTTTGCCATGCTGGCCAGGCTGATCTCGAACTACTGATCTTAAGTGATCCACCCACCTCGGCCTCCCAAAGTGTTAGGCATGAGCCACTGTGCCCAGCCTGACTTTGACCTGTAACTTTTTTTCAGCTTCACGTATGTGTAGGAGGAGCTGAAGCAGCTGGGCTGATTCATTTAGTCTTTTGTGGGTATAATAGCATGATGGAGTGTAGACGCCTGGGACATGCAGATTAAGGCTATTGGAGGTCAGAGTTTCTCAAAAGCAAATTTTGTACAGAAAATTAATAACAACAATGAAACAGAAAGGTTAATTGAAGGAAAAATACATTTTAAAAAGGATTGGTTAGGACTGTGTGTCCACTTCATTTTAAACAAGAACTAAAAATAAAACTGATTTTAAAATTACCTTTTGCCTTATGTGCTATGGTTTTGGAGACAGATTTCTGAGTAGATCACCAAGAGCTTACTTTAAAAATATTACAGAGCTTACTTTAAAAATATTACTTTTTGTTGGTTTAAATAACTCATCATCATAACTCAGAACTCACTATTGGAATAGAACACTTTTTGTTTAAATGTTCACATCATTTTCTGAAATTTGCAATGATTTTCTTTTATATGTGTTACTTTAGAGTACTTTCTTGGTCTACCTCAAAGTTACTTTGGTATAATTGCAAAATGACACACATTGCTCCCATCCCTGCACACAAGTCTTTTTAAAATATGACTTTGCTTCTCTTCCTATTAAAAGAACAGTAGAGTGTATTTCTTCATATCTTGAGTCTTGCCTAGCCCATGAGACTTGCTTTGACAAAGGGCACCTTAGCAAGTGTAATGTAAGCACAAGTTGGAAATTTGTTCATCCCTTGCTGCTACAACCCTCCCACCGTGACTAGCCTGCTGCAGGAACAGAAGCCTGGTGTGCAGGGGCTCCTGCTTTCCCAACCATCCCAGCTGAGGCCCTCACACCTAAGGAAGGTCATCCTGGACTGCTCATCCCCAGGCAGTCTCACGCAGATCAGAACAGCCCAGGCAACCCACGAAGTCATGATGTTTTTTTTCAGCTACTAAATTTGGGGGATAGTTTGTTATGCAGCAGAAGCTAACTGATACACTCTCATTTTGGCTTTACTATATAGAACTTAATTAATGGTTTCAAGGCAACAGCAAAGTAAGCAAGTGAGCCAACAAAACTTTTAGCTACAGCTTTACCTTTTCTTCTTTAGTTCAGAAACTTTAACCATGGATATTTGGTGTACCACTATCTCTGCTACAAGAATAGAAGGCATATCTCTTTTCTCAAATCACTGAAACCAAAATAAAACAAGTACCTAATGGTCTTTCCTGGGTCTGCCTCTATAATCCAGGTGCAGTGGAGGTTGTTGTCATACGGAGCTGGATAGCCAGGGGACAATATTCGTCCTGATGTGGCTGCATGGATCTGACCACCACATTCCGCTGTAGAAGACACAGAGAGATGGGAACGTTCAGCTTCAGGCATCACATGTTTCTATTTAGCTACTTTTCAAAACCAAAGCCATTATGTCTGCATTATATACATAGAGAAAAAGAATCACCATCATCTCTCTCTCCTGACCGTTTCAATATTTCTTCCAAATCATTACCTCTGTGGAAAGTCTTTATCCTCCATGCAATTAAAGTTGAGAGCATAAAGCAATAAGACACTCATGTGATAATTCTAATAATATGTGATAATTCTAATAATAACACTGTACCTATAGTCTCCATAACAGAATACTAGAAAAACTGTCTTTCATAGCTGAAAACACACACTCACAGACACGTGCAAATCTCAGAATACATAAAACTCACACTGGAAAGTGTGATAAAATTCCTCCTCTTTTCCAATAAAGGAAGTCAATGCAACATGGTGCAAGCACCCTAAGGCCTGGCTTTTGCACAATGGTATGACTGCTTCCACACTCACCTATGCACGAAGGTAGTGGTTTGTCCCACACTCTCCTGTCTCCACTCAAACAGGTCAGGGTGTTGCTGCCATGCATGGCGTACCCCGGGTTGCAACTGTACAGAACTACAGTGTCGGTAAAGTGGCCTTCATCACGGATCCTATAGCCGTAGTTAGGGATGCCCGGATCCTCACATTTTACCAGATCAAAACCTGCAAGAGAGAAAGGCAAGGAATGAACAGAACTCAAGGGTGGACATCTGCCTTAAAACAGAGATGAAACAAACAAGGTTGCTAAATGCTCCTTGAAGGGTAGGGAGAAAAAAGGAGATTGTGAATTTACAAAGGGGAAAAGAAAGATGGGTCTGTACTGGGGCTATTTGTTACCCATTTGTGATTTCTTGAAGTTCGGTCATCTTATTTGTTCCTCCCTACTTACAAGTTTTTTTTTTTTTTTTTTTTTGCTTTTGTTGCCCAGGCTGGAGTGCAATGGCGTGATCTTGCCTCACTGCAACCTCCACCTCCCAGGTTCAAGTGATTCTCCTGCCTCAGCCTCCCAGGTAGCTGGGATTACAGGTGCCTGCCACCATGTCCAGCTAATTTTTTGTATTTTTAGTAGAGACGGGGTTTCACTATGTTGGCCAGGCTGGTCTCGAATACCTGACTTCAGGCAATCCACCCCCTCAGCCTCCCAAAGTGCTGGGATTACAGGCGTGAGCCACTGCGCCCGGCCCCTCAAGCTCTTGTTTTCCGGAGTTCCACAACTTCATCTGTCAGTCCAAGCCTCCAGTCTGCACCCTGGATTCTCTGGTGAGCCCCAATGCCCTCTAGGACCTCTAGGAACGGGATACTCTGCTGCCTCTTTGCCCCTCTGTCACAACCTAGACCTCCAAGGAAGAGGGGCCACCTATCGGCACTGCCAGGGTGCTTTGCAGAATCCTGACAGCCAGCACTTATTCCAGCCCATTGTCAAGACCCGCCCACCTTCCCGACAACTTCTTCCAAACTCCAAGATGTCAACTTCATGGGAAAAGAAAAAAAAACTGGCGCTCCTGAATTACTGCCGACCACACTCCTGATGGTGCATGGTTATGAGGCTCTTGAGGAAATCCACACAACAACAGAAACTCCAGAAATGAATCATTATAATGACCTCATCAAAATAAGCTCTTAAACTCAAAGAAATAGATGACAGAAATGAAGATTTAGCTTCTGCAGTACTGAGAGCTGTATATTCCTTTTATGTGAGGCAATATTTTAAGGCCATCTGTGAAAGACAGTCTTACAGTAACATATTTCTATTCATATCATGATGCAAATTTTGACAATTGTAAAAGGGAGAGCTGGAAACTTGAGGGACCACATGGTCTCTTTCCTTCTATTTCCACCAAACTTTGAATGCTTTCTTTTCTCAAAAAGAAATTAAATTTTGAAATGAATTTGTGACTTCTGCTACATCCTCCTGTCAATGTGAAGTCTGAGATGCCCTTCCATTGAGGAAAATGTATTCTTAACTTCACAATATAATTTTACCCTGCTGATGTCTGACTAATCAGGATTGAGATTTGCAGCTTTGTATAGGAGAAAGAGGACATGCTTGATCCTTTGCACTCAGTGACTAAGAAAATTTCCTTCCATAAAGTTTCCTTCCACAAAGAGTCAGTCTTTACCAACCATGACATTATTATTTTTACGATAACCCTGATCTATTTAAGAGACACCAATAATTTTAATTCAGATGCCTGGAATTCAAGAACAGAAGAGTGTATCCATCTTGGTGCAAAACAAAGGGATATGCTAAATGTCCACAAAGGGGAGGTAGAAATTAGGGGGATGGTTTCAATCAATCACCTCCGGTTTCAGGGTCATTCAAATATTTGATGACCTTCATCTCACTGCATAATGCCAAGAAGACAGGGCAGAAAGGAAGACATTCAATATCATGTATGACAAAATCCATCATTATTACAGATTATTCAGTGCTCATTTCTGTTTTCGCAGAGAGGAAAAAAGAAGCAGAAGTCTTTACTGTTGTTATTGTTGTAGTGTTACTGGGTTTGCGGGTTTGGAAGTGACAGCATCTGAACAAGTCTTTAGAAGGCAGTCCTGCCCAGCATTGGGGATGACCACCAGCAAACTAGAGGCAGAATGACTTGTTGGAGGTGATGATTCTCCCTGGCCACACTTGGAGTCCACCTCCCTATTAATAACAAACAATCTTCCAAAATCTTGCGCTATCTTGAATTTACATTAGGTATGCTGCTTATCCAATGTCATTGGAACATACAATTGGAAATAACCATTAGGCACACAAAATCGGGGTGTAAAAAACTTTTGAGTTCAGCATCTATCCCTATGATCAGTACCACTGGAACAGGATCCTGGGAAAACTTAAAAATCTTTTTGAGGGGTGAGGGCCGCCCATGCTAACAGGGCATCCAGGTCCTGTCCGTGAAGAACAAAGCTGTGAATGGCAGCGGGGCCAGGAAACTGTGGGGTTCTGCACACAGCACCCAGGAGGTATCCACCTTAACAAACCACACCCAATGTGACCCGAACTTCTCGTTTTTCAAGGGGCAAAAGAAATCTGGAGTTTTAAAAAAAGTTTTTAAAAAGAGGTGGAATATTGCACGTAATGCTTCTAAACTGAGCTTTGAAACACATCTGCTGGGGATGATGAAAGCCTGGACTAAGAAGTGGTCAAGATGCCTACACAGGCTGCTCAACTTAACAAATGAGGTTACGTCCCAATAAACCCATTAAGAGTGGGAAATACCTTAAGCAGAAAATTAATGTAATATACCTAACTAACTTTCCAAATGTCTTAAATTCACCTAGCTTACCATAAATATGCTTAGGACAGTTACCTTGGCCTATAGTTGTGGAAAATCATCTAGCACAAAGCCTATTTATTTTATAAGAAATTGTTGACATGAGATAGTCCTCCCCACTACTAATAACAAACAACTTTTTTTTTTGGAAATGCAGTCTGTCTGTTGCCCAGGCTGGAATGCAGTGGCATGATCTCGGCTCACTGCAACCTCCATCTCCTGGGTTCCAGTGATTCTCCTGCCTCAGCCTCCTGAATAGCTGGGACTATAAGTGCGAGCCATCACACCCAGCTAATTTTTGTATTTTTAGTAGAGTCAGGGTTTCACCACGTTGTCTAGGCTTGTCTCAAACTCCTGACCTCAAGTGATTTGCTTGCCTCGGTCTCCGAAAGTGCTGGAATTATAAGCATGAGTCTAATCAGCTAGAGAGTCAACACTTTCTTACAAAACAAGCTTTATGCTAGACGATTTGTGCTAGTATTGAATACTGTACAGGAAATGAAAAACAGATGGTTGCATGGGTGCCCAAAGTATACTTTCTACTGAACGTGTATTACTTTTACATCATTATAAAGTTGAAAAATTGTAAGTGAACCATCATAAGTTGTGGGCTGTGTTCATTTTGACAATAAATTATGTTCTGATTGTACAGAAGCGTTTATCAATCATAAGAGATTTTCTTCACTGGAGACATGTGTAATAACATTCATTTTCCTGTGGGACTTACAAATTGTTTCAGTAGTTTATAGCCATAAGCTCTACAAGTAGTTTATAGCTATTAATGCTTTAAACGTTATCCAGAATATGCCTCTATGTTCAGAAATCATGGCTTTTAAAGACTTCAATCAAAAAAGGTTAACAAAGTTCTAAAATCCAAAAATAGGCTTATTTTAAAATTAGTTTAAGAAGAAACATTTTCCTCTACCCTAAAACTTGCATTAAAGCTTTGTTTTGTAATGTTTCTTTCCACTCTTCTCCAAAAAAAACAAGCAAAGAAAAAAGATGTATCCATTAAAATGTCTACTAAACTTTACTTGGGTTGCATTTTGTACAGAAATATGTTTTATTGCTTTTTCTATCAATCATTCAATATCAAAAGTTTTTCTTTCTGCTTAAACTACACCTTGTCATACAGAAGAATTAAGCCAAGTTATTTATGGCAGCGTAGTTTTCTCTTTATATGACCAGCTGTCTCCTTTTTTTCTGATGCCTTTTCTTGTTTTTGCAAAAGATCACTTAAGACCTTGACAGCATCATTAAATTTATTATCTTGTAAAAAGCTCTATAACTTAAAGCCTCTAGGCTTGTGTGATGTCTTTTTATAAAATACATTCCTCTTTCCTGTCAGAAAGTTGAAAGTATTTGGCCATTCTAGAGATCAGTTTTCCAATTTTCAGTAGACTGAAGAGAGCTTTGTTCTCTCAAAGCTCCTCGCAGGATTTGATGGTTCACACACAGTTGCTGGGAGAATCATAGGCCTTTACAATGGGAAGTAGCATTGGAATCACAGCCATCAATACCTTGAAGGACTAGAGAAACATCCCTAGAAATCTGAAGCTTCTACTTCGTGTCACTTGCGCCGTGAACCAGCTTAGTCGCCTGCTAGGGAGAAGAGTGCTGCCTCCACCGTTAAACTGTGCCCTTAGAGCCATAGCATGTCAGCATCTCTCAGGTTCTCAAAGGCAGTTAGACTTCAATCTGGTGTTTCAGACACTTTGACCCCTAGGCTGTTACTTTATCCACATTCGTTAGGATACAGCCTAGCCTGCTGTTTCCCTCTCTGCAAATTGCATGAAGTACATTTCAATTGAGCTTTACTTGCTGTGTGTTTAAAGACTAGAATATAATCATTGTTTCCTAAAAATGTCAACACTGTTTTTGAATATTGGTAAAATAAGTTGATGTGTAATAGGAGAATTCTGAAATGACAACATAAAATTCTATGATGTTAATTCTGCACTATTTCAGAAAAGAATGTTTCCATGTTTTAAGAAATCTCAGATGGATTAAAGACTTAAATGTTAGACCTAAAACCATAAAAACTCTAGAAGAAAACCTAGGCAATACCATTCAGGACATAGGCATGGGCAAAGACTTCATGTCTAAAACACCAAAAGCAATGGCAACAAAACCCAAAATTGACAAATGGGATCGGATTAAACTAACGAGGTTCTGCACAGCAAAAGAAACCACCATCAGAGTGAACAGGCAACATACAGAAAGGGAGAAAATTTTTGCAATCTACTCATCTGACAAAGGGCTAATATGCACAATCTACAATGAACTCAAATTTACAAGAAAAAAACAACCCCATCAAAAAGTGGGTGAAGGATGTGAACAGACACCTCTCAAAAGATGACATTTATGCAGCCAAAAGACACATGAAAAAATGCTCATCATCACTGGCCATCAGAGAAATGCAAATCAAAACCACAATAAGATACTATCTCACACGAGTTAGAATGGCAAGCAATCAATCATTAAAAAGTCAGGAAACAACAGGTGCTGGAGAGGATGTGGAGAAATAGGAACACTTTCACACTGTTGGTGGGACTGTAAACGAGTTCAACCATTGTGGAAGTCAGTGTGGCCATTCCTCAGGGATCTAGAACTAGAAATACCATTTGACCCAGCCATCCCATTACTGGGTATATACTCAAAGGATTATAAATCATGCTTCTATAAGGAAACATGCACACGTATGTTTATAGCGGCACTATTCACAATAGCAAAGATTTGGAACCAACCCAAATGTCCAACAATGATAGACTGGATTAAGAAAATGTGGCACATATACACCATGGAATACTATGCAGCCATAAAAAATGATGAGTTCATGTCCTTTGTAGGGACATGGATGAAGCTGGAAACCATCATTCTCAGCAAACTATCACAAGGACAAAAAACCAAACACCTCATGTTCTCACTCATAGGTGGGAATTGAACAATGAGAACACATGGACACAGGAAGGGGAACATCACACACCGGAGCCTGTTGTGGGGTGGGGGGAGTGGGGAGGGATAGCATTAGGAGATATACCTAATGTTAAATGACTAGTTAATGGGTGCAGCACACCAACATGGCACATGTATACATATGTAACAAACCCTAAAACTTAAAGTATAATAAAAAAATAAAAAATAAATCTCAAGTTTTTAAAGGATATGTTTAATTCTACAAAGATATTCTTCCAAATAGAGATATTTCCATTTTAATGTGAATTTAAGAGACTTTTGACTGATCAATTTTAAGCCTGCTGAAGAGTAGTAACTTTAAAAACATACAGAAGGTATCCTTTTCTATCTTGAAGCCACTAGTCTGCAATTATTCAGGGCACAAATACTGGTTCTGTATTTGCTTTATGCTCTAGAAACTTTAAAAAAGACTAAATCACATTATTTGTGTCAAAGCACTATTAAGTATTATTACAATCAAAACTTGAATGTATTTAGTAATTCTATTTCTTTGTTTTCTAGTGATTTCATTTTAAGTCAAAGCACAGCCAAAATACTACGAACAAAATGTTCTAATCAAAACAAGCTCCAAACATTCAGCTGATGAAAATTACTTCTCCATATATGTTGCATGAATTACGCAGTCTTAATATTCTTAAGAATTAAATCCTATGTATCTTCTAACAATATTAGAGTTCTATGAGACTTGCTTTTAGCTTTCAAGTATTCGGATTAGTTCTTATCTTCCAAATAAAGCACTTGTGTTTCAAGAGAACCGGCTCCAGACTTAATCCATTTTATACATTAGGCTGAACAACGAGCTCACAGTAATGTGAGTTTTTTCAGCTTCTATCTGAGCAACTCTTGAGAAAGTAGTTTCATGCTCAGGTGAGCTCTGAAAACATAACTGAAGAAAAGGAATACTGGTCATTTTTGAATCTCTGATATATTTTCTCATGAGCAACTGAAAAAAGCTTGAAGTATTTACAAAAACATACTATCTATCTGTTAATTTTACCTAAGACATTTCAATTGGGATAATGTACTTCTTTGGCAAAAATCTCTTTAAGAATGACTCTCATGTGAAAAAAAGGGACAGTGTTTTCACACCATTTCCTTCAGTGTAAAGAACTGCATTAAAAACTTAATATTGCTTTTTATTAACTCTATTTGGATTCATCTGAATAGGAAGGGAGTTTCAAAGGTAATTGGTTAAATTTATTTTTTATAGTTCACTTGAGAAGGAAAGTTCATTAATAATGAATTTCCTGAAATGTGTGATTATTTCCTGAAATGTGTGATTGTTCCATGTTTTACAATACATCTCTCTTTATTCAAGAATGAAATTCTAGGTGAAGTGAGTGTGTGTGTGTGTGTGTGTGTGTGATTTTTAAACTATCTTTTAAATTATTTATGGTTTTTTAAGCTACAGATGCTATTGTTTTCAAATTGAGTCCTCTTGTTAGCTACTATTTTCATTTAATTCATTCAATTTTTCCCATATATTAAGTTTTTGCTGACATTATTTTGTAATCCTATGAGCAGCCCCATGGTAAGATACTCCACATTTTTAAAAAATAGCAATAGCAAACAGGTTGTTGACAATGTTTAAACAGAAATGTAAACTTCTGAACTTAAGGTAAAACATCAAAAAGCCTGTAAATGTCCAGAATGAAAATCAGATAGCCAAATTATCTATTTTTTGGAACTGTCTTATTTTTTATCAAGCAAACTTTTAATAAATCATAAAGCAAGTTAATCATACCTAAGAATTTAATGAGTCAATCTTGAAACATTTTATAATTTTAAATACATTACATTAATCCCAAGTGAATTTAATGCTGGTTGTACTTTGATCTTGTGCAGAGCTTCCAGCAGGTCAAATAGTTAATATCAATTCTGAGACGTCTCAGTGAAATAATTCAAATTATTCACTTTCTCACTGATTTTTTTACCACTATGCACGTATGTTCTCTGTTGAGGATATTTAAAACTCAGAGTGGGGGAACTTGGGGCAAGACCAGGATCAGGCACCTACATGGATGAACTGAAATAATTTCACTCTAAATTCATCTTTAAATACATCCAGTTGGCAAATATTGTTCTAACTTGTACAAGGTGGTAAGAACTTACAATTAGGTGCTAACTATATACTGTATGTATTGTAACATCACCATGTGCCCTGTGCCCCATGAATATGTGTAATAATTACTTGCCAATAAAAATAAAGGAAAATAATGAGCTGTAAAAAAAATGTTTTCAAATCTATCAGGAACTTTTTTGGGGCATGGTGGGAAGAGTAAAATAAAACGGCTCCTATCTTCCCCTGTCTAATGAATGACAGATAGGAAATAAATACTTATAAAACAACACGATGAATGCTATGGTTTGCGTGAAGGTTGAGAGGGACAAAGGAAACTAGTATATTGGTAGCTGGAGGGGTTCAGTGAGCCTTGCGGGAGAGGGTTTGAGCAGGTCTAGGGGCCTCCTGGACGCCATCCACTCAGAGGGAGAACAGTCCAGGTGGAAAAGGCTTCAAATCGCATGGCAGTTGGGAACACCAATTTACAGGAACATTTGTATATGCTGATGCTTCCTTTTAAACGTGTGGCGGTTGTGATGGAGACAGGGATTGAAGGGAAGACAGGAAAGGTCACGGGAAAGACTGGAAAGGACTCGGCTGCAGCACCAAGGAGTGGAGACCAACTCAGCGTGCAGTGGGGGGAAGGCAACGGAGAAGACTGCACAGGAAACTGACACAAGTATATTCGTATTTCAGAGAGATAATCAGAAGCAATGTGCAATATGGACATGGGTGAGAAGAAAGAAAGGACAAGCAGGAAAATCTGCAAAAGTATTTATTTAGTGCTGGAAAGGAGCCTGTGTCAGTGGATGTGGGGAGGGGATGAGGCAAGAGTGTGTGCGTGGATGAAGCATGCACAAATACTATTTTGCAAATTGAGCCTGAGTGAGAGTGGACACAGAAGACTCAGTAGATGATAGATGGGGTCTGTGATGAAGAGAGGACACCAGAGAAAAATGCAGCTCATGGGAGAGGTGAGGGAGGAAGAGGAGAATCATCAGCATTGTTGTCACATAATGATTCTGATCTTCTCATAGCAGATCCCCTGTATTAACCCAGAAAAGGAATACATCTTTCATTGATAACACCTGTTATGAAATAATTAAAAATAAACATGCTTTGGATATGTTAGGAGCATGAGGAGCACAGAGCGAGACAATCTCAGTCCTTATGGAGTTTCACAGGGAAATTAGACATCCTAACAAATAGTAATCGCAATAATTACCCAAGCTATAGGCATAGACAGTATGAGTCAACATTGACACTCAATCACACAAGTGTGGACTTGTATTCTCTGTTGTTCTGGTGCCTGTTTTCTATTACGTTTTCTATTTTTTCCCAATTAAGTGTTTGTTTTGTTGTACTCACTTCTTTGTATAGCAAGGGGTGAATAGTTAAAAAATAAAAAGCCCAGAATGACTTAATTTTGTTTTGTTTTGTTTAATAGGAACTTCTGTGTGATTGTGTAAGGATGGCTCCTTTTGTCAGGTAGAACCAGCCTACAGTTATCTGGTTAATACTACGTTTATTTGGTATCATTACTTGATGTGTTCACAATATCATGCCTTGTACACATTTTAACTTTAAAATGTTATAAATTTTGTGTTTAGTAAAATTTCATGTAAAATAAAGTTGCTACTGTATAAGTGAACTTTTAATGTTATTTTTTGAGACAAGGTCTTGCTCTGTGACCCAGGCTGGAGTGCAGTGGCGCCATCTTGGCTCACTACAGCCTTGACCTAGCAGGCTCAAGCGATCCTCCCACCTTAGCCTATTGAGTAGCTGGGACCACAGATGTGGGCCACCATGCCCAGCTAATATTTGTATCTTTTGTAGAGACAGGGTTTCCCCGGCTGGGCTCAAAACCCTGGGTTCAAGTGATCTGCCCACCTTGGCCTCCCAAAATGTTGGGATTACAAGCGTGACCTATCACATTTGGCCTTCTCCCTGAATTTATTTTTAATTATGATTTCTTTCCTGATGATGAAGCTAGTAAATTATATATAGTACCTTAGGCTTGTAATATTCTATTTTTATTTATGAAATATCTTTCATAGTATAACTTCTTACTATAATGTTTTGCTTTTGTTCCAATTTTTTAATAGGTGTTAAAATGAAAAAAGTAATGAAAAAATAGAAAATCTCTGTAGTTCTCTAATTGAGAACATAAATCTGGAGTAGCATATCCTCTGGCCTACCGCATTGATTCATTAATGCAATCACTTAGCATATGAAGTGCCTGCTCGGCTTCAGATATTTTGCTAGACGCCGAAGATACAAAATTAACTGACCTCAGTCCTTGCTCACCAGAAACTCATAGTCTGTGTAGATAAAAGATAACATATAAAAGTTAACATATTCCCTATTAAAAGGATGCCCATTCATTAATTCAACACATACTTATTAAGCGCTTAATATGCAGTATCTTTCGTGACACAATGCTGTGTTTCAATGTATAAGCATGGTTTTGCCCTTTGGGACTCAGAGTTTAATTGGAGGTATTATAGCAGGTGCATGACGAGAGTAAGAAAGCATTTGCTTTTTGGGTGGTGGTCACAGGAGTTCCCTAGCTGGAGTGTCACGGTTCCTTCTGCAGGGTTTCTGTGGAAGCCAGATCCGAGCACAGGGCAGCCCACACACACAGACAGCCACACACCAAGAAATAAATGCAGCTGCTTCCAAAGGAGCCCCCTGTGCTTTCCACGGGGCAGGTGGGTGACTGTAAACTAACACAGGTCATGCTTGATGGCAGGTGCTGCTTTCAGCTTTACAAATAATAAAAACATACAAACACACACACATATGTGCATTTATACAAAGGGAGACCCAGAAACACAACAACACAGATTCAGCCATTCCTATGGATCACTCCCTTACACAGAATGGAATTTGATTATCCTCAGAACATACTGCAAAACAAACTGGGGATGTTTATGTGTCTTGCATCCAGATAATAACTGAAGAAGTAACTTCCTTGCTGAAAAGGCCTAGCTTTTAAAAAAAATCTAGGAATAAATGGTCAAAAAAATGAAACTCACATATTTCTGTTTTTAGCTCCAAAAACTACTAATTGCTTAAAAATATCTTGACTATCCCGAGCATTTGATTAACTAGTGTTGGTTCTTTAGGATTTAACCACAGGGATTAGAACCACTGCAGAGTCTTCATGGCAAAGTACAAATGAAAATATTTGCAATACACAAAGAATTTGGTATAATTTTATGTCAGTCAATATAAGATTCAAATTAAACATAATTGAAAACAGAGTTTGATAGCTTGAGTAATTAAATATTAATATAGAGCCAATATATAGAAAAAGGTGGCAAGTAAAAGATAGTTCTACCAATATATCCCAAATACCATAATTAAAATGTATCTAAATTATATTGAAATATAATTCTATGCTTTCAAACACTTCCGCACACATTCAACAATAACTTTTAAAAAGAAACATGAGAGTTTCTGTGAAATTGAATTATATGATTATTTTTAAAGATGGGAGAATTCTCAGATTATTTGTTTTTTTTTGCCTGATTGCTGAAGAAAAACTAAATTGATAAAAATGGTAAGAAAAGTGTCAGAAGAACATTAGGAACACGTCAGCCGGGCTATTTTTAAAGTAATTCTTCATTAGTAGTGTAGGTTTCTCAGCACATAATTTTAATTTTCATTGTCTAAATCTCAGTAATGCTTATATTTATATTTATTTGCTCTTAGATGGGAATATCAAATTGATGACTCATTAAAAAAACTTTTATTTTAATGGAGAAATAGCAGCTCTGGTTAATTTATTGTTATCACCTTAGACTTAAGTCTCTACCAGTGGCTTAGAAACCAAGTGAATAGACCGGGCCCCAACTTCAGGAGTGTCTGGCCCAGAACCTCATCACTACCATGAACTCCAGCATAGAGGGGCTGCCACCAGCGCACACAGAAGACATGCTCTGTGCCACACAATTCATCAGGCAGGTTTGTCTGTGCTGTCCCATATAATCCTGAAAATCACCTACAAAATAATGACGATTATAAGAGTCCAACTAAGCAGTGGGGCCCGTGGCCCTGGCACTAGTTTGGAGAGGGACGGAGGATGAGAAGAAATGGGAGACAACTGAGTTCTTCCCAAATTCTGTCCCGGACTCAGCCCTCACACACCCTGCCCCTGCCTCGTGCCTCCTTCACATCTTAGCTGTGAAGGGCACTGCTTATTGCTTGGCTCCCCCATGCTGTAGCGATTTTTACAAGAAAAACTAAAGGATTTATGAAAACACGATAAGCTCCTCGTACAAGTAAAATCCATGTAAATATAAGGGATTATCAACAATACCTGAATTTGTTGCTGCTGTTATGACTCATAGGCTGATACTTTTTTTATTCTACAACTAATAAATACAAAGAAATTGTCCCACCATATGTAAGAATTCAACACCTTGAGCAGTGGAGCCAGGTGGTCAATTCCAGAGAAGTGACAGCCTCAACTAGACCACCGCTGCATTGGGACGCAAGAGCGCAGTTCCTCCTTTTCCATATCTCATTCTTTGAAAGAATTTCTGCTGAGTGGGTGACTGCCATCCATCAGCCTAACTGTGGCTTGCAGGTGCCAGCCCATCCTCTCTGGGCTTATTCCTGAGGCATTAATAACCTAAGCCACCCGCCTGCAGAGCGAGGGCGCAGGGTCATCCTGCCTATGGGGATACAACGCCTGCTTGCCGCACACTTTTGCCCCTGACATGCATATTCTGCACCTCACTGACCGTAAAGCGTTCAGTAGCAAAATACAAATACAAAGCAAAATGGAGTACGTAACCAACATTTTTGGAAATAAAGGCCGTGAGTTCCATCTCTTCCCCAAAAATGGCCTCGCTTTTGTATTTCCCAGTTCATCTGAAAGACACGCAACTCTCAATCTCTTCCACCTTTGCCTCCCTTCTTTCCACTGCTCCTGTCAACCTAGCCACCGAAGGCGTGCAAAGCCCCCTGCACCCACCATCAGGTGGGTCGAATCCTTTGCTTTCTAAGCTTCCAGTGCTTAGTCTAAGCCTTCCTCACTGCACACAAGATTGCTGTTGTTGCTGACTAACGGGTCGCCAAGACACCATGGTGAGTATTCACCCTGGTCCCAGTCTTCTAAGGATCCTGCCATCTGGTGATGCCCTCTGCACCAGGGCTCATGATGCTTTGTGCCGTAGTATTGTCCAGATCCTCCCTGCCCTTTAAGATCAAGCTCCCTTACGGCTGCAGCTGTCCTACCCTACCCTGCATATTCCTCCTGAAGGCTCTTCCTCCTCCCTGAATTTCCTGTGAATCCCACCACAAGTAGGCAATGACAGGTGCTCTGCGTGTATCTAATTCTTCCAAGTTTCCCCATGCAAATACCCCATTACTTCGTCTAGAAATGAACCTCCCTGAACGCACGGGTAGCCCAGAGAACATGCATTGTTTACTGTATCCTCTGAGTCTGGCAGTGAAAGTGGAAACAGTGAAATGTATGCATATTACTATATTTAACTGGTGCTTATTTTAATTCTAGACAATGTGTCTGTAAGTGCTTTTGATTCAAATAAAGTAGTAAGCTTCTAGTGATTTCAAAGTGTTATAAAAACACAAAGTTAACTGTATTTTCTAAATAAAAATAAGTGAGCTGATTTTCAAAATCGTGAAAATAAATGTGTTTCAAATTTTAACACTTTCTGATTTGTACAAAATTTGGGAGGATTTAAAAATAGCACTCAACCAGAAATATGCAATTAGGGGAATTTCAGAATGGATTCAGTATTATTTAGCAAACCTAAAATGGAACCTACACAGTTTCATAAAGTGTTTTTCTGAAGAGGGAATTCCATCAGCTTTCATTACATATCAGTGTGGAAATGTGTGGTGACGTATTTACATAATAAACATTTCCATGGATTATTTTACATAATATATGAAAGTCAGTGCAGACATCTTCAGTGTTATGAATACCAAATACTGTTATTTTGGTCATAATGAGTTTGAGGATGATAAATGAACTGACAAATATATTCAATACATTTCATGGCCAGGAACATGAATAACAGCACAGATTTCCAGCAGGAGCGGAACATTTTCCTTCACCTCCTGATGAATCATTTTATTTTTATATTTTCACTTAGAGCCATTTTATTCCTTTAGGTCTGTTACATTTTACAGTATTAGTTAAATGACTGAACATTCAAATTAATAAGAACATATATAAGAATGAGCAATTTCTTAGTATTTCCTTCAAATCTTGTACTAAGAGCACAGATAAAGAATTTCTTCTTCCAAATAGGCCTATTTCATATAGATCTTGTTTTACGCTAAATTGCCTTAAGGGTTCTGGAAGTTTCCAGAAGAGAGAGCTAATCCATGCACATACATAACTACCTATGGAACTTTCTTGTCTTGTTCCCTCAGTTGGTTTCATTGGCCAGAATGTATAATGCACCAGGTTCCAGTAAAGTGACCAAAGTTGTAGGGACGCCCCTGGTCACCTGGCCTCCAGGTGTGGTTGCATTATGGAGGTGTCAGACTTCATGGCAGTGGAGTCCACAGCCAGTGGGGCAAGGTTGCCCATCCAGGGCATATCACGAGTACCCGTACTTAACCCGCAAACCTCAAACATCACCAAGGAGGCATTTCTCCTGTCCAGTCTGCTTACAAAATCATTTCCTTATTCTTAACAAAGGAAATTGATTTCTGGTTAACATAATGGCAAATGCCTGACTTAGGAAGTGCTGTGATTCCTAGATAAGTCTCTGAATTGTTTTTTGCTTTTTTTTGTTTTTGTTTTTGTTTTCCTATGGAACTTAATGACACTGAAGCCTTCCTCATCAGAACCTAAACCTCACAGTCATGGTTTATTCCTTTCTTCATCTCATTTACAATTCAAGTCATCACTGTCCTATAAATTATGCAGTTTTAAAAACATCTGTCATTTATCTTTCCACCTCTAACATTGTGTTTTTGTCTAACATTGTCTTATTAGTAGGTTGTATGATGTCCAATGGGCAACTTCTAACTTCGTGGGCATCTATAATCTATGGTTCACATCACAGCAAGATTAAAAACCTAACACAAATGACAAGGGACCTCAACATTCTTGCACCCTTAATAAAATCTTACCTCTCTCTATTTTTACCTTCAATAATCTACCCTTCCCCATTTTCCCAAGTCTTACCTCTAAATAAAATTTTATCTCTATTTATTTTTACCTTCAATAATCTACCCTTCCCCATTTTCCCAAGTCACTAATAGTCATCAAAGCCAGAAACGCTGGTCCATTCTGAACCCCTCTCTCTCTCTCTCACATACTCCACACCCATGATCTTACTCACACCATTTTTAGAAGGAGTTAAAAGGGAAACTTGCCTAAAACCATCAAAAGAAAACTTTAAACACTCTCCAACAGTTAAAATACTCTTTGATTTTTTAAAAAAATTTTATAGCATTTCAGTACTAAGAGTTTTCAAAAACAACGTTGTGTTTACAGAAGAAACACATGACCTGGGATATGACAGATGAAGCAGCAGGTAAGTAGCAGAGCCAAGAGGCCCACATCCAACCCCAGAGACCCAGGAGGGAATTTCCTTCACCCCACCTTTCATCATTGTTAAAATAGGCCCACATCCAACCCCAGAGACCCAGGAGGGGGAGTTTCCTTCACCCCACCATTCATCATTGTTAAAACAGACACACATCTAACACCCAGAGACCCAGGAGGGGGAGTTTCCTTCACCCCACCTTTCATCATTGTTAAAATAGACACACATCTAACCCCAGAGACCCAGGAGGGGGAGTTTCCTTCACCCCACCTTTCATCATTGTTAAAATAGACACACATCTAACCCCCAGAGACCCAGGAGGGGGAGTTTCCTTCACCCCACCTTTCATCATTGTTAAAATAGACACACACCCAACCCCAGAGACCCAGGTGGGGGAGTTTCCTTCACCCCACCTTTCATCATGGTTAAAATAGACACACATCTAACACCCAGAGACTCGGGAGGGGGAGTTTCCTTCACCCCACCTTTCATTGTTGTTAAAATAGACACACACCCAACCCCAGAGACCCGGGAGGGGGAGTTTCCTTCACCCCACCTTTCATCGTTGTTAAAATAGGCCACACCTAACCCCTGAGACCCAGGAGGGGGAGTTTCCTTCACCCCACTAGTCGTCACTGTTAAAATAGACACACATCTAATCCCCAGGGACCCAGGAAGGGGCGTTTCCTTCCCCCTACCTTTGGTCACTGTTAAAATAGGCCCACACCTAATCCTCAGAGACCCAGGAGTGGGAGTTTCCTTCCCCCCACCATTCTTCACTGTTAAAATAGACACACATTCAACCCCCAGAGACCCAGGAGGGGGAGTTTCTTCCCCCCACCATTCGTCACTGTTAAAATAGACACACATCTAACCCCCAGGGACCCAGGAGTGGGAGTTTCCTTCCCCCCACCTTTCATCATTGTTAAAATAGGCCCACACCCCACCCCAGAGACCCAGTAGAGTGAGTTTCCTTCACCCCACTTTTCGTCACTGTTAAAATAGGCCCACATCTAACCCCAGAGACCCAGGACGGGGCGTTTCCTTCACCCCACCTTCCATCATTTTTAAAATATCTGACGGTGAGTGTTCAATCTTGGCATTTACTATTGAATGGTGCTAATTGTATCACTTCAGATCTTTGCAGATTTCAAGCTCAATATTCCCAATTGCCTTGGTATGTTTTCATGTTCCTCGGTCTAGTTGCCTGGCACTGGAATTTAATTGACAGGATTATTTTCATATCAGTGTTTTCTGAAATTTTTACTTGGTTTAAAAGAAAAAAAAAAGCATTTGTTGTAGAAATACAAATAGGCTTCAAATGTTTTTATGTCAGAATTTGTGGAGCAGAGAAAAATAACAATTTTGAATCTGAATCGATTTTAGAACATTTTTTCTTTTAACGACATCATTAAAAATGACCTACATAACAAAAATCAAAATCAGCAACAGCATGACCTGTGACCCCTTACCCAGTGTTTTCTTCCTGAGACGGTGTCCAGGTCTCCAGGCTGTTTAACTTCCTACAAATGAACCTTGCAAATGCAATGCATCCATGACTGACTAATACAATCACAATCACTTTTTATTACCCCTAGAGAAGAATGGGAAAATATTCTGTCATCGCTCCTATCATAACATTTTAGATTTTATAGCATTTGATGATACCATCTGTTGGCCTTCATTTTATTTCACACTTAAGTCGTAAGCCTTGAGTTGGATCCTCATAATTACATTATTTATGTCATCCTCCTCTAGGTCCTTTTGTCTTTCTCCAAGTACTGGTGGCCAACAACTTATTCCTCAATTAGTTCCACTTGATGAAAGTAAATAACAAGGTCGCCTGGGCATGCTGGCTCACGCCTGTAATCCCAGCACTTTGGGAGGCCGAGGCGGGCAAATGGCCTGAGGTCAGGAGTTTGAGACCAGCCTGCTCAGCGTGGTGAAACCCCGTCTCTACTAAAAATACAGAAGTTAGCTGGGCATGGTGGCAGGCGCCTATAATCCCAGCTACTCGGGAAGCTGAGGCAAGGGAATTGCTTGAACCCGGGAGGCAGAGGTTGCAGTGAGCCGAGACTGTACCACTGCACTCCAGCCTGGGCGACAGAGTGAGGCTCCGTCTCAAACAAAAACAAAAACAAAAACAAAACAAAAACCCAAAAATGAAAGTAAATAACAATGTGAATCCACTATCAGATCATCACAAAATATAAAGAATAATTCATTATGCAAATAAGAAAAAATAATTGGCAAAACTAAACCTTGCAGGAAATTATTCAAATCAATGGAAAAGCTGGTCCTAGACTGACATGACCTCTGTAGGATTTGAGGGCATGACAGCGGTCACCCGGGTGATCACAGACCCTTATTAAACAAATCTCCCATTACAGCCACAGAATGCTTGGCTTCTTCCCACAGAATCCAAGCACAGAATGGTTTCAGTGGGACGTTCGACAACATCATACACTGACAGTTCCGTCTTCGCGATGATATACATGTTGGTCAGTTAGCAAGGATGATAAAACATCATATTAAACTGTAAGAGACTGGAATATATGCCCACCTCTACCTCTGATTTGCTTTTTGACATTGAGTACATCAATTAAGCATCATCTTGTGTCACTGTCTTTTCTTACAATGGTCATCGTGGTACCTTCCACCTTCCTCCCTTTGAGAAATGGATGAAGATTTATGTCCTGTTTTTAGGGTAGCCTCACCTTGAAACAGACGAAGGTATGAGGTGTTTCGGTTTCAGAGCACTACCGTGCTACAAAGACACATCCCAAACTTGCCCTCTCCTGAATGTTGTCACGTTTGGCCCCAAGTGCCTTATGTTTTACAGTTGTTACACATTTGTTTTCAAGCTTAAAATAGACACATAAAAGTAAAACTTTCTAACGTAAACCAGGAATTGTATGTTTGCATTCCCAGAGATGGGGATGTCTTCCCTCCTTGTAAAATGCCCACCTTGTTTCATAATAAATTTCCTCTTAGGTACTCTCAGGCAGCCTGTCTCCCTATTGTATTGGAATTGCTTAGACTGCCTCATCTATTGTGATATTTCCACTGAAAATCATTCTATTGAAGAATATTTTATAGGCTTTCTTTTCTTATAGCAGAAGTGTAAAAATGCCTTTTCAGGATTCTTACAAGGTGTAAGTTTATAAAAATGTATGGCTATGTCTTGATACATTGATAGGAAAGTTTTGCTCATGCCTGTAATCTCGGCTCTTAGGGAGGAAGAGGTGGGAGGATAGCATGAGCCCAGGAGCTCAAGACCTGCCTGGGCAATAGAGCAAGACCCTACTCTCCACTAAAAGGAAAAAAAAAAGACAAAAAATAAAAACAAGTGGAAAGGTTGGCAAGGATTCAATCACAGAAACACGTGCAGAGTCATCCTCCTGTCTCATCATTGGCATTAACACTTGACATCTTTACAATACCATCTTTTTTTTTTTTTGAAAGAGACTCTCTCTGTCACCCAGGCTGGAGTGTGCAGTGGCAGGATCTCTGCTCACTGTAAGCTCCGCCTCCCAGGTTCACGCCATTCTCCTGCCTCAGCCTCCCGAGTAGCTGGGACTACAGGCACCCACCACCACATCTGGCTAATTTTTTGTAGAGATGGGGTTTCACCATGTTAACCAGGATGGTCTCGATCTCGTGACCTTGTGATCTGCCCACCTCGGCCTCCCAAAGTGCTGGGATTACAGGCATGAGCCACCTCGTCCGGCCTACAATACTATCTTTTTTATAGCACAGAAAATTCTGAGTTTACAAGTTAATTTTCCTCTTAACATACACATCTTTTTATTAACATAATATCAGTTTAATGTCTGTTAGAAATCAACTTTTCTTTCTCCACAACTGAATGTCACCATGTTGTACTCAATAAGAATTCGTAGGATAATTGTTTCAGTAGTGACCTGGGAATAGTAAAGTTTGAGGTAGACCACTCATTTTGGGGGAATAGAACCGAAGAAATGAGCACATACAGATTACTTTTAGATAAGGAAGTAAAGTAACTTTGTTAGATTTAAGTGCTTAGTTTATTTTTTATAATAAATCAGTTTATCTTTTAAACAAATTGTGAAATAAGTAAATGTTGTGTTTTTTCCTTTAGCTCCGGGTCCTCATTTCTCTTCACCTGCATATGCCCTGTGTCCTTCTGTTGGTCTTCCATGGATATTCACTGTGACCCGGATCCTTTAATTGGGTCACCTTGAACTCTGTAAATGACCAATGCCCTACCTAGCCCTAGCCCAGAATGCATCTCTGTGTATAATTGGGGCATCTCCAGCATTGCCAGCCAATTCGGGTTCCAGTTTCCAGAAACTACCCTGTCCGTCTAAAGCAGGTAAAGCCATCCGCTTTCTGAGACTCACAATGAGGGCATCCTGCTGCTGGTTTGTTTCTGCTATTGTGATTCAATGTCAAAATCCAAGCCACTTACTTTCCCTAAACCTGGTTCTTGGATGCATCTCTAATTAAACCGATGCCTCCTTCTGTGTCTGAGCCTCTAATCTGACAGTCTGCCTGTGTCCTACATTCCTGTAAGCATAGGTTCTGCTTCATAAATGCTTTTTCCACATTGGCGCTTCTCACTGGAGCTCTGCCTGCCTATATGCTGCTTAAGGCACCTCTGCTTCCTCTCTCAATATCATCTGACCCTAAGTGACTTTTACAGTTTATCCACCTATCAGAATTTGTGTGACCTCATATTGGGCACCCAATGCTAAATATCTGCACAGAATACCTTACAAAATTTTGTCTGTTGCTACACCCTCCAAATACTTCAAATATTGTGTTCAGACTGTCATATGATCTTCGGCCTAAAATGTATTCCTGTTTTTCCTGGCCCACAGCAATGATCAGTTTCAATCCAAGTCGCTCCAATGTACATATAGTGGGCTATGTGTCTGAGGGTTCAGAAAATATCCTGTTATCATATCCACGGTCTTATCAGAGTTGACAAAAATACACAAAATACGTTGGCAGAGGATGAGGTTCATGTGAAACCGACAAGACAGTAATAAAAAACAAAGAGAAAAATCTGGCTTTTGTCATCCAATTTATAAACAAAAAATGTGAAATAAATTTTAAATTAAATTGGGGAATTAGTTATATATGATATCTTTTAAATAAAAGGCACTAAACTCTTAGTAATATCCATGAAGAGTCTTAAGGTCATTATATCATTCCTTCAAAATAAGACAGCAAGTATTTTATTATAACGTGCTTGGGCTCAAGTCTATTACATCCCAGAATTCCATTATCATGTACCAAAGGGAAGTGAAGAAAGCATCAGGAAGAACCTAGGGCTGAAAAAATTTACCTAAATATGGAGGCTGCTGTTGGCATGGAATGGAGGTGGAAGATATGTAGTTGAGGGAGAGAGAAGATGCCAGATGTTGGCATAGAATGGAGGTGGAAGATATGTAATTGAAGGAGAGAGGCGATGCCATAGCACTCAAGAGGGCATTGAAAAATGACCTTGTTTTAGGATATTATCAATAACAGAGGAGGCTGAGCTAGGAAAGTGGTCATTGACAGCAAAAGTGAACCCTATAAGACACATTTCCAGCAAGCAAAGGGGACTCTGGACAGCCGGACCCCTAAGAGCAGGCTTCATCATGACCCATTTGCAGCGTGACAGAGCCCAGTTCTGCAGGAGAAAGGAATGATAAGCAGGGGACAGAAAAGACCCTTCAAGCAGATGGAGAGTTCGAGATGTGTTCCACATTACAGGGGAGCATATATGATGAACGGGGAAACTGCGGCAGCCACACACAGACTACTGTTATCTAGTTAACATCTTTTCCCCATGAGAATGTGCAGCAGTTCCCTTCCCAAGGCCTATGCAATCACAGACAGCCGTATTTACCCTTCTCATGTACCATGAGTGCGTCCCCTTCACAGGTTGGAGCTCAGGCTACTACAAAGGTCTGCCTGCCATCAAAAGTAAAGCCCCATTACCAGAAAGAGTTGCCCAGCCCCGGGGCCGCATGGGCCTGCAGGACCAGTGCTAACTGAAGAGTGTGAGCAGAGGCCATGCCATCAGTCTGTGCAGGGTGATGCATTGTGAGTGAGCCTTTTCTGCCTTCTCTCCTTGTCTGCTAGGGGCTAACTTACTTGCTAGGGGCACAGGGCACAGTGCCTATGGCCCACAGTCTCTTTAGAGGCTCATGGAAATGCTTTGATTTCCTTAAATCAGAAGAAAAAAGTAAATTTCTGGGTTAAAGAAACTGTATTAATATACAATCATCTATTGATAGTTATAGGCACACAGTCATGAGAAGAAATGTTTGATGTTTTGTGTGGAGGAATGGACTGTATAAGAAGCTCAAGCCCATGGCAGTCATGGTGTGGCCCCATCCCTGGGTGCAGCTCCTCCCAGGTCAAAGCAGGGTAGTGGGTAGAGAGCCCTGCAGACAGAAATGTCATTCAAGAGATTTCTCCTTACATTGATAAACTTCTTCAATTACTATAGCATTCTTCATTTCATTTTCTTAGAAACAATGAAGGAACATATGGTTAAAAACAACTTGCCTATACTCAGAGGAACATAAACTGTTCTACCATAAAGACATACTCATGCATATGTTCGATGCAGCAGTATTCACAATAGCAAAGACAAAGACTCAATCTAAGTGCCCATCAGCGAGAGACTGGATAAAGAAAGTATGGTACATATACACCATGGAATACTACACAGCCATAAAAAGGAATGAGATCATGTCTTTTGTGAGAACATGGATGGAGCTGGAGGGTATTATCGTTAGCAAACTAAGGCAGAAACAGGAAACCAAATACCGCGTGATCTCACTTCTAAGCAGGAGCTAAATGGTGTGAACTCATGAACACAAAGAAGGGGATGACAGACCCTGGGGCCTATTGGAGGGTGGAGGATGAGAAGAGGGAGAGGATCAGCAAACATAACTAATGGGTACTAGGCTTAGTGCCTGGGTGACCAAATAATCTGTACAACAAACCCCCGTGACATGAGTTTACCCAAATAACAAACCTGCACCTGTGCCCCAAACCTAAAACAAAAGTTACAATAATAAACTAAGATTAAAAAGCAAATACTTTATTTTGAATTTTGTTGCTCTCCCATGGATATAGGAATGAATTATCAGCAGGTAGGATACTATAGCAAAACTGTTTTTATTTTTTATTTACCTCATGAAAATGCTAAAATATTACTTCTTACCACGTATGAGAGATGACATCTTAAATAAAATATTTCAAATATAAAAGAAAAGCAACAGTGCCGGGCGCGGTGGCTCACGCCTGTAATCCCAGGACTTTGGGAGGCCGAGGCGGGCGGATCACCAGGTCAGGATATCGAGACCACAGTGAAACCCCATCTCTACTAAAAATACAAAAAATTAGCCTGGCGTGGTGGCGGGTGCCTGTAGTCCCAGCTATTCAGGAGGCTGAGGCAGGAGAATGGTGTGAACCCGGGAGGTGGAGCTTGCAGTGAGCCGAGATCGTGCCACTGCACTCCAGCCTGGCCGACAGAACGAGACTCCGTCTCAAAAAAAAAAAAAAAGAAAAGCAACTTCCCTATTTAGATTCTGATTTCAGACTGAGGGAGCAACTAACGTTGATATCTGTGGTAAAGAATCATGTAACCAGAGGCACTGATCAAAATCCCACATAATTTCAGATGTTTGCTAACAGTGGCCATGAGTTGGTGGCCATTTTTATCTGATGCGGTGAAAACACAGAATGCTTATGATGTATCAGTGGGAAGCTCTTGAGCTTTGGATTATACTAACAGGGTTTGAATCCTGGTGCTGCCACTCACTAATGATAGGACCTTAACTTATGGAACCCTCGGTTTCCTGTCTTTAAACTGAAAATAACAAAAGGATCATCTTCAAAGGGCTACTTTGGAGATAAAATGAGACAATGAATGTGAATTGCCTGGCACGTGGTCAGTGCTCATTGATATATTATCCAATATTTCTCTTTTACCATGGCCCCCAAAGACACAGCTGGCGGTTTCTCTTGCGTATGTACCTGGAATGAACTTGGTATCTGACCTTCAGGGCTTCATGCCAGATCTTTAAAGTTACCGTGTGAATGATATATTGAATAGCAGTTACTCCTATTTCTTTATGTGTAAACTTGATTCATTTCAATGTACAACTTTTCTGGCCTATGTAAGAGTAGAGTGTCCTGTCCTCCAGAGAGAAATTCAGAAGATCATTGTTGACAGGTGACTGATAATAGATAGCTAGATAGATAAAAACAGATCATAGATAAATAATGATAGATAATTGCCTCGTCAATCAGTAGATACATATGTAATAGATGGATATAGACAGAATGATAATAGATCATAGATTATCAATCAATAGATGATCAATTAATTGACAGACACATGATAGATACGTAGGGATAGATGATAGATGATGACAGGTATGATACATAAATGTAAATGTTTGTTGAGATATCTATTAGATGCACGGATATTATCCAAAACTACTGCTTGATGGCATGAAAACAATGACTTTTCCTTAAAACGTCATCTCTAAGATTAAACATTGATGACAATTGTATCCTGCCCTCTTGCTTTGCATGTGAATAAGACCCTCTTGTAAGCTTTTCCTAGCAGAGAAGGGAAGGTGGGGTTGCTGAGGGCTTGCCCGCTCCTCACCCACCTCCAGACATCTCTGAGTCTCTCCAGGTGGGGCCTGAATTAGCTGGGAAGAGGAGAGGAGGGGCCTGGAAGGCCAACCGGAGCTGCAGTGAGGCTGATGCTTAGGGAAGATCGAGGCACATAATAAAACTATGCCTGTGACCATTCAGAATGTCACCGCTGAAACCTGTTTTATTTGCAGACAACAGATTAACTACTGTAAGCTGAAATATTTCCTGAAACTTTAAAAGTACATGTAAGCAATGAATTGTACATTCCCTTTATTAAATATATACTTTATGTCTTCAAGTGTGTGTGGGAGTGCGTGCATGTGTGCGTGCGCACACACACACACTTTATTTTAAATGAAATTATCTGAGATGGAAGGAAAACATTCCTAAATAGGAAACTCTGACGGGCAGATGTTGCAGGGACCCTGATGCCCTCACCTCCTGCTGCTCCAACCCTGGATGTATGAATGATTCTTCTCCTTCCTTGAGTGTGGGCACAGTCTGTGACTTGAGCTGACAACTGAACATGGCAAGTGTGAGAGCACCAGATGCCACGGAAGTGTCTGTTCTGTCGATGCTGAGTTTGTCAAGATACGGAGCCTGACTCAATCCAGGGAAAGCCCTTGAAAGAGGGTCTGGCCTCCATGAGGTGAGGGCTCCCCATGGCTTTGGAGAAGCCAGCAAGGACACGCCCTGCCCAGAGAAGACCACAGCCACGTGGCAGGGAAATGCCAGTGGCACCAAGGAGCTGGGAGTCTCAGTCTGACCACTGTGACGACCTGAGTTCTGCTGACAGCCTGAAGAGGCCCCTGACACTCAGATGAGACCACAGCCCAGCCAACACCTGGTCACGTCCTTGTGAGACCCTGAGAGAAGACCCAGCCAAGCCGTGTCTGGGCTCCTGACCCACGGATGCTGTGAGATAAGAAACGGTGCTGTTTCAGGCCCCTACACGTGTGGTATTTTGTTACAGAGCAATAGAAAACTAAGGTACACAACACTGCCTATTATTTGAAAACACTTTAAAACACTTTATAAAATTATCTACAAGTTAACTGTGGGAAAAACAAACACTGCTTATTGGATATTTTCCCAACGTTTTTCTCAGCTAGGTTAACAGCTATGTAAAAACAAAATTTTGCCGTAAGCTTTTATTTACAAATGATATATAGATACTGCAATTTACAAACTACACAGATACTGCAATGCCAGGAGTAGATATTAGAGCAGCATAATATGTTTGCCATAATCTTAATCTTTATTGAAATAAGTAAAAATCTGTGAGTGTGGATTTACGTGCAGGCTGAATATTTCCTTATTTTTATAACCCTATTCTATACTTTCCCCTGGTTCTTAGCATGGTTGTGAATAATTTTTAAAACTACTCACTGGATGAAAAGATGCTTTGACTCAATTTCCTAAAATATAATACACCGTAAAAAGCAAGAAGGCAGTGAATGCTATTCTTTGAATACTATAATCTCTTTTACTTTAAAACAGCAATGCTTACACATCACAACCAAGAATGTCTGGGAAATCTGTGAGTGTCTTTATTATTGACAAAATTAGATTGTAGAAAATGTGCATTTGAGGACTGCCCCTCAGCTTGTATAGGATTTCCAAAATCTAGTTCTTAAAAAGAAGTAATCAATGATGACATGGACCCATCGTGATGCCCTTTTATATCTTACTCATAGCCAGGGAGGTGAAGGCATTGAAAGAATCTATATGAGACGCACACAGAGTGTCTACTGATGTGTTTGGGTAGAGATAGGTGGGAGAGGATGCCAGAAGAAAATGACATCAACCTTTTCAAGGTATCAGTCAATCCTATAAAGAAAGCATTATCTCTCTTGATCAACGCATAATTTCAGGGACTCCAAATGATGGATTCTGACATACCCTGCTCTTCACCTTCAGGTTTGTTTCCAGTAATTGATTGCATTCAGCAGCTGTGTACACTTCATGCTTGCAATATTTTCTCCTTGTTTTCAAGCACCAAAATGACAATGCTTAGTGCTTCTGTATCGGTCCTGAGAGTGTATTCCTGTCCAAAGCCACTCTCTCATTTATAGTAGTATGTTTAATGTTGATGTCATTTTTATTTTCAAAGCCACTCTGTCATTTATAATAGTATATTTAATGTTGATGTCATTTTTATTGTATCAATGTGTTAATAAAACCAGCATGACAGCTACATAAACCCACAGCTCCATGCTTTAATTTTCGCATCCACAGGCTACGTTGTAATGTCTTCAGAATTAGTCGTCAATATCAGATCACCCACCTTCACCTTTTACTTATTGTGGCAAAAACATAAATATGGAGCTGCAGTGCAAACGGCTGCAAATGGATGGGCCATTTTACAGAATGGATGCCATTCTTTTTTATTTCACATTGAATTTGCAGAGTAAGTAGAGTGGGACTTCCTAGGTCTCTCTCTAATGTTCTTTAAACTGAGTATGACCAGGCAGTCTGCAGATCCACACTGCAGGTGGCAGCACAGCCTGCTGGGGAGCTGCAATGTGTCACCACTGGGTGATCCCATTGCATCTGTAGCACGGCTAAGAGCGTCAGCTCCTAGTCCAACGAGCCTTCTCCAAAACACAACTCTTGTAATAATGCTCCCCTGAAAAAAGTGAGTTAATTCTAGGAGATGATACTGTCTCTTAAACATTTCTGATACAGCTCATGGCAGAGTGAGAAGTATAGCTATGACTCATGAAACCGAGAGGAGCCCAGGACCCTGGAGGTGCCTGCAGTCAATGGTGGTTGGACATCCTACACCACTATGTTTCTCTCTCCCTCCCTCTCATGTCACTTGTTAGGGGTATTGGTGAACCAGCCTCTAATGGTTCCTTTTGCCCATACCCTCTGCTCTGTGTTACGAATTCACAGTTCCAACCTCTCAGTCACTGTGATGACCGTGCCATGAAGAGCACAGTGACAGGATCAATTTCCCCTCCATCACACACAGCCAGTGGTGTGTGTCCCAACGACACAAATGGTCTCACATTTCATATAAGAAGAAAGGTTTGGCCAGGCATGGTGGCTCACGCCTGTAATCCCATCACTTTGGGAGGCCAAGGCGGGTGGATCATCTGAGGTCGGGAGATCGAGACCAGCCTGACCAACATAGAGAAACTCCGTCTCTACTAAAAATACAAAATTAGCCGGGTGTGGTGTTGGGTACCTGTAATCCCAGCTACTAGGGAGGCTGAGTCAGGAGAATCGCTTGAACCTGAGAGGTGGAAGTGCAATGAGTCGAGCTCGTGCCATTGCACTCCAGCCTGGGTGACAGAGTGAGACTCCGACTCAAGAAAATAATAATAATAAATAAAGGTTAATGGTAACAATGGCTTCTGTGTATGGAATGTCACCTAAGAGTAGAGCAGACACAGAGCTGGATGTTCTATACAATGTCACTAATTCTCACAACAAATCTGCACAGTGCTTTACTATTATTTGCATTTTGCCAGGGTGGAGACTGGGCTCAGAGAGGTGAATTCATGGATGGAAGTTCAAAGAGCAGAAGGTAGAAACCTGATCCAAGGCTTCTCTGTTCTCAAAAGTCTGGCCTTCCTACCCAGCGCTTGTAGATTTTTATTTTGGGCTAATTTACATGCAGAGGACGATGAGTAATCCTTAAGCCTAGAAAACATTTCTCCCATAGGACTGTGTTGAGGTTAACGTACAAAGTGCTTTGAGTAACTGAAGTTAGAAAAAAATCCCTATCCCTCCTGAACCATGGAACCATGGGCAGGTTTCTCCAAACCTCTGTTCCCTCATACCTAAGGCAGTAGAAAAATAGTAACTGTGGGGTTTTCATCAGTATTAAGTTAGATCATAGCAAGGCCTTCGTGTGTGAGTTACAATACATGCTAATCAGTCCCTTTGCAACTTGGGGTATTATGAGTGTTTCCAAGGCCCCTGAACCCTGAGAACTGTCTCCACTTCCCATCACAAATTGTAGGCATTCCTATGCCAAGAGACATGTGTCACCTTCTATAGCCTTTTTCATGACCCCTGTTATACAGAGTCTGAAGAAAAACATACTTAAATTCATATAGCACTTGGATGTTTTCAAAAGCCATTTCATATGTGTTTTCTACATAAGTTAGAAAAGTAAACTATTATTGTCCCTGCTTCACAGATAAAATCAACACTGGGAAAAAGTGTGGTGGTTGGGATTGAACAGAGTAAGGAACTAGAGGAAAGATGCTTTACCCCGCTCTGATTTTGTCTCACTTTACCACAGAGCAAGGGGCACACTGAGAGCATGTACTTCATCACAGAGCCCTGTGCCCCCATCCAGACAGAGGACCCAGAGACTGTTCCCGATGTGGGCGAGAGCCCTGCACACCTAACTTCCTGTTTTCAGAACAGATTCAGAGTCCCGCCCCCAGCTGCATGCATCGCTGGCCCTGGGCTGTGTGTGGGCTTCCAGGACAGGCACAGCTCCTGTCTAATTCATATAGCACCTGGCATTGACCTTAATCTGTAGCATGTCTGAGATGGTCAGATCCTAGTCCAACAAGCCTTCTCCAAAACACAGGTCTTGTAATAATGCTCCCCTAAAAAAAGTCAGTTAGTTCTAGGAGACTGACCTTATGCCAGTTGCTATATAAATTAGACAGGAGCTGTGCCTGAGGGTGTGTCCTGTGAACTGTAACTTTCTGGGGAGGCTGGAGCTGGGGTTGGCCAGGCCTTGCTGTCCCCCTGCCTCAAAAGCACAGCTGACTAATCCCCTGGAACCCTGGGCATGACAAGAAGAAGACTGAAAAGGGTTCAGTACATGACTCTGCCACAAACCAACGCAACGACTCGCCCTATCCCCATCTTCCGTCTCCTTACTTATCTCAAAGTCTAGAACCTTTCAAAAGCAGAAAATATTTTGATAAACATACCAATTTGGATGAAATAAATTGCTTTTATTATTCATCACTTTTTAATTAAACCTTTTTGTATCTATTCAGCAAATATTTATGAAGCATCCCTTAGAAGCAAGCCAGGGAAAGTCATTGTTCTGCATAATTACACCCGTGCCTGACTCTCAGCCACAAGGTTTATTCTACAACCAAAATTTAAGCTTGCGTTTATTTTGATGGCTTCAAAGATCTCTTTGCGGTTGGCAGTCTTGCCTAAACAATGAGATAGGTGTAAAGAATGACAGAGGATGTTCTCGGTAAGCGATGGCCACTCTTTCATCAATGCTATGTCTAATGCTGATGTACAGGGAATGCATATCCACAAAACCAGCGCCTGGACAGAGAGGTCCATGGCCTTAAGCTCAACCATCTCAAAATGATTCAAAGACCAGTCTTGCGTCTGCTGAGATCAAGTGCTCCCTAGGAGTTTGGGCACTGATCACACATTCACCTGGAATCGGCCTAATGGGTAGAGAGAAAGTCAGCCTATAGGGATCTGATTATTTTATGAGTCATTAAACAAAAGTATTCCTTTGAGTGGCTCTGCTACAAACCCAAACCGTAAGTGTTTATGATGTTTCTTCTACCTCTGTTCAAACTTCTGCCAATATACCCTGGCCAGGAATCACTGGTGCTTTGTGGAAGGGAAGCTCGGCTAGGTTTTCCCTAATGAGCCTCTTCACCACGTCTGAACAGTAGACACTTCTCTAGCTTCCTACTTTGGCAGATGCTTTTATTTCCCAAGCGATATCATTCATGAAACTTAATGCCAAGCAGGCGTTGTGGGATTGGAATTGTGTCCAAAAATAAATGCAAATACAAAAGGACCCCCTTGAGGAGTCTGTCATCCCTCTGAGGTGCTAAAACCAGCCACAAGACACAACGTATTTGATATCTGAATCCAGTTGTTGAACCACACGTGTATGCCTGTCTCATCTCCATGTCCAGGTCACCCTGGCATCCACGCCTCTATGCCCAGGGAGTGGCTTAGTCATGCGTGGGTGCTGGGCGTTTCTTGACAAGTTGAGTCAGTGTCCACAGAACGGAAACTAGCAAGTGAATGAGGGCAGTAGACCCTGACCAAGTACATAAATAAAATAATGGAAATTGTGTAAATCAAAACACAGCTAAGTACAAGAAAGGGATAGACAGAGAATTCAGGATAGTGATGAGGGGACCAATTCAGGATCCCCCAAAAATGAAAATTCAGCAGGGATGAGAAATCTGGTTGTGGGGCAGGATGAAGAGAAAGAATTGTGAATGTCCCTATTTCCCTGTCTTTAAATTAAACACTGTTGTTGCCAAGTGCCTGGGCTCAGAGTCAGGGCCTCTCCCGTGATACCAGCTATGCAGCTGATTCATTTTCAGGGCTGGCCAGTGCACTTCTGCAGGGTGCATCCTGAGGACTGTAACTTTCCAGAGAAAGGGCTTTATTTTTTTCTTTTTAAAATAATTGGTACAAAGTTGCCATATGGAATTGTGGCAGCTCTATCATGCAGATCCAGCTGTTCATCTCCAGCCTTTCTTTTTTTTTTTTTTAAATTTTTATTTTTATATTTTTAATTAACTTTAAGTTTTAGGGTACATGTGCACATTGTGCAGGTTAGTTACATATGTATACATGTGCCATGCTGGTGCGCTGCACCCACTAACTCGTCATCTAGCATTACGTATATCTCCCGATGCTCTCCCTCCCCCCTCCCCCCACCCCACAACAGTCCCCTGAGTGTGATATTCCCCTTCCTGTGTCCATGTGATCTCATTGTTCAATTCCCACCTATGAGTGAGAATATGCGGTGTTTGGTTGTTTGTTCTTGCGATAGTTTACTGAGAATGATGATTTCCAATTTCATCCATGTCCCTACAAAGGACATGAACTCATCATTTTTTATGGCTGCATAGTATTCCATGGTGTATATGTGCCACATTTTCTTGATCCAGCCTTTCAGTGTTTCTTTGGAATGTCGTTTATACCCATCTGTAATTCCTCATCCATTTTCACAGGCCCTTCACTTCAAGCCTCTGTTTGCAGAACACTTTAAAGATGTTCCTGACTATGGGTTCTCTTCTCTATCAAAAAAGTGAGACTTTTAAGAGCCAAGGGTAGGGGGGTTGCCTTAGGAAAGCTAGCCAGCTGTCTTTCAAAAGCATTCCCTGGGTGATTTGGTAGGCTCAGAATTCTGGTTCCATCGGTGTACCCAAAATAGATTTATCTCATCAGAGGGCCAATGGGACTTTAACATCAGAATGCCAGTTCCGTAATTTGAAATAATTGACGAAGCTGGTCCATGTACCGGAAACCCTATGTCAATATCAATAAATTACTCTCAGAGGGCTACTCTGATATCCAATGCTTCTGTTACTTCAGGTGAAACTCTTACTTCTTGCCTGATACAGCTCTGTGGACCCTCAGTGTCACCAGGGAATACAATTTGAATGACAATCATCCATTCTAAGCTTCTTATGTCACAGATCACACATCTGTGTAAGGTGCGAAGAAGTACAAACAAGTGGACACTCATTGTCCCCGATTTCACAGAGCTATGGGTTATGGCTCCATTGGACATCATTATACACCAGAAGCATATTATCTGGTATGAACATAGACAAGTCTGTAATAAAAAGCAGTGTTTTCTAACGAAGGTACACTTTTAAAGTTTTATTTTGGTCTGACTTACTATTCAGAAAACAGTACTTGCTTAATAAATGCCTATTCAGCAACGTATTTATTCCGATTTGGCCCAAAGATACTCTGGTTTTTCTTCCCAGGCAATTCCTCTGCATGTATCAATATCGGTCAATATACTTGATGCCTGCCAAATGAGGATCACCGAAAATCGTTGAAAATAAGTTCATCAGCAATTCTGGTATTCAGTTAGAAGGCCTGGATTTGGGTTGCAATTACACCACTCCCTGTGTGCAGCAAATTACTAAAATATCTGAAGACTCGGTTTTTAATTCATAAAGAAGAGTAGAAGGAGCTATTTCCCAAGACCTGGAATTACCAGGATTGTAAAGTTGAAAGGTCCCTAAGTGTATGCTTTTATAAATATGAAGGGATAAAGAAATATTGTTTGTACCCATTTCTAAAAATGTTAGGGTTTTTTTTTATTAAGCTATATATTTTACTCTCTGTTGACATTTTCTAATCTACTCATGTATATGCATTAATTATGGATCTGAAACATTTAAATACTAATGTTTCCTTAAGTAGTGCAATTAACTATCAAGAGGCAATTACAAAAGTCTTTTGAAAATAGCTGAAAGTGTCTTTACACAGTCTTAAGCATAAATAACTTGCGTAAAATATTTTATCTAACCGGTCATCATTTCTGAGACATCTTTTTGGAATAAATATTTGATTCAGGTATTTGATGACCTTGGGGAGCTGGGGATTTCTTCAGCTTATTTACTTATATTTACAACTAACAATTTAATGTGAGGTTAATACTATTTTGATTATATGGCCATCAGCACCACCAATTTTCTATTACAAATATATCTTCCCACCAGACAGTATGTTCCAGCTCTAAGATAATCTTGCAAAGGAGACCTGAGGAGTCTCCGGGTTTTGCAGGTGGAACAGAAAGGTGAAACAGGGAGAACAAGAAAATTACTCCTGTCAAATTGATTATAATAAGAGCTAAGTGCCAATCCTCTCCAATATTTCTTTCTCCTATTTATAGAACATTTGTGCTACTATGTAATCAAAAATGTCTGTAGAATTGGAAAGTGCCCACAAACAGATGAATAGATTCAAGCTTTTACAAAGTTACTCAGTGAAGTGGAAGTGACCTCAAAACTTCCTAAAGTGATGCTGGATGCCGGGGAGCAATAGAGTCACAGTATCCATGTGGGGTCCAGGCAGGGCTGAGCCTCGCCCACTGACGCAAGCCTTCTGGGTGAGGGAGGGTGGACATCAACATGGAACAAGCCGACCACCTATAGTTTCCATACGGTCACACGGCTCTGGAGCACATGGACCTTCCTAACTGCTACCTGGACAACAGAAGAGGCTTCAGAATTATGGAAACAGCTCAGTATCCCTACATTGATTCCAAGCCCCTGAAATTCCAGTATGCATAAATCTTCTTCTGGATACTTTTTGCATCACCATGAGAAAATGAGACCAAGTGTTTACAAATGAGAAATCATTCCAACTGGAAATAGTCGGAGGAACATGGGAAACAGTTACTAGGGTTGGAAACGTAATGAGAAATAACACACGAGCTGAGCACAATGTGTTTTTTGTGAAGCAGCCACAGGAAGGGAAAAAGTGAGCTTAGTAACATCGCAAATTGCAGCAGTGTTGAGAGTGAGGTCCCAGGAGAGAGGGAGGATCCCAGGCCAACGTTTTCTGCTCTTTGCCCAGGGAGCCATAGCAGGGGCAGGATTTGTAAGAAAAAGCAACGAAAATGTGTTCAGTGGCAAGAGAACTGGAAGAACGCCGTAGGTGTGCATGGAACTTCCCCGTAATTAGACAAAATTTAATTTACCCACAGGCTTTTCAAACAGTTTTTCTTCTCAAGTATCTGTGTTCCTCTAAGACTAGTGTAGGGGCAAGGAAGCGGGGATGAAGACATCCAAGTAAGAAAACAAAATACATTGAACATCTCGACAGGGACGAGAAGTGGAAAAAACAATCACAATAGCATTCATTCCATCTGCAAGCAAAATGGTTTTACAAGAGCTCTTTGAGACATTTCTGAGAGGGAAATCCTGGAAGGTAAAATTCTAGTAAAAATTTTATAATTATAGGTTGATCTTGTAACATCAATTGTTATCAGTTTATTGTGCACAAATATTAATTCATAGGCTTTCTATTTACTCAGTCTTTTCAATGGTATTATCACAAAGGTGAAAAACTGGTTTCCTCATGATTTCAGCCACACTTATTCTATTTTTTGGCCAAAGTCTTACAATTCTTCACCTGTGATTTTTTCCTCCTAAGAGGGATTTGAGGTGATTAATCTTCGTCTTAGGCTCCTGGATTAGCTCTGGGTCTGTGGGATGATTATTATCTTTTGCAGGACCTTTTTTGCCTATCCATCAAATAAAGGTATCCATCACTAACATACTTTTATGCTCAAAAACCCAAACTTTTAAATTTCTAATGTCATGGTGTTCAGTATGATATAGTTTTTACATTTATCAGATGAGTGAAGGATTTGACAATTTTATATACTTTAAACATTTTAATTAATTAGTTAATTTTAATTACTTATCCACACCAAATAGCTTTTTCTTTTACTTCAGAACTAAAAATGCTGAAAGTGGCAGTTATCACTTTGCAAATTCCTACTTTTGAAACACAGCATCTCTTTTATTTCCCTGTTCTTTTGGCTTCTTCATTTACATCTTTAAAAACATATTCCACATTGATTTGTTCATACAGATGATGGGAAGCACCGATAACTGGGAGCTACAGCTTCAATCCTGGCTCCACCAACTCTTAAAACTGTTATCTCTGGCAAGTATTCAAAGTATTCCTCTTAGTTCTCTCGTCTCAAAAATTAATGGTGAAAAGAAAATAGTTTACTACATATTATGTAGTTGTTGTGTGTGTGTGTGCTTATACATATATATGATTAAATGTATAAATATATGTGTGTATGTGTGTGTGTGTGTGTCATTCAAAGTCTATTACCTCCGGTTGTATCAAACATCTCTTCTAAAGCCTTCATATATAAGCACATGAATTTGTATCAATGTATACTATACCCCAATCAATATATTTAAGCCCATCAGATCTAAAATGTTGTAAGACGTTTCCTTTTCAGGTCCAACTATTTTGTTATTTGAATTAATATTTCCAAATAGATAAATTTCAAGCTACTAGTAATGTGTCCGAATATACAACCAGTCAACAGAGTACAGAATTAAACTGCAATCAAAAACACAGTAGGCAGCCAGAAAAAAATCAATATTTAAAACTTAATATAAGCCAAGTATCAGATATGTCCTGACAAAATGAAAAAAGAACGTGATTAAGTCGTATGTTACTTACTGGTATAGGTGAGTTGAAAACCTTGGTCGGTGTCAGATCCATTGGTGTTGAACTCTAGCCACAGGTGATTGGATGTGCTGTTTAGGATCAGCCCCAGAAGTTCATTTTTAGTGAACGTGCCCAGTGGACGTGAGGAACTGTCTTTTCCATCATATACCTGATGAAAATTCACAGCATGAGTCCCTCTATGCCTTCACTGGATTCTTATGTTAGCAATGGTAATAAACAATCCAAATCTTCAAAGATGCAGTTTTAAACAATACTTAAAAAGGCATATAGTTTACAGAAAGATAAATGAAGGACTTAGAGCTAAATCATATTTGTTCTTTAAATTTTATCTTTACCATTAACACTGGAGGCAAAAGATTCCATTCTTGTTCAGATCATTTTATATTCATTACTTTAAGAGCTCTTTCTGTGTTCATTTAAAATTAAATAAATATTTCTTTACATTTCCAGGTTTCATTATCTACCTTTTTATTCCTTTTCTCATAGTTCAGTTATAAAAGTAAAAAGGATTTATAATATTTTAGTCTTGAATATCTCCTCTGAACTCTCAACTAAGTCAAAGAACATACCCTTCCTTTCTATTCCCTTCTGTCTGAATGCACTAAAGGACAACAAGATGTGCCGGAATCTTGTCACATTCTGTAGTCTGCAAGCCTCCGGTGGCTTTCATCTTGAATTTGAAATAACAGAAGTATCTCATCATGCAATAGTAATACAGAAGTGTGATGTTGCTTAAAATGCTCTGTATGTGGCATTATCTTCCCAAGCAGTTGTAAAACGAGAGTAGATGTAATAAGTATACGGAAGATAAGGAAGACAAGGCTTGGTTTTGACCAGCCGGGAGAGGGAAGGTTCAGTCATGGGTTCCCAACTAGTGGGGAGACAGGTCACATGGTGGGGAGCAGTGGGTCTGTGTCACCATCATAATCTGAATGAGGATCGGGTAAAAGTGTTTAGGACCCATGCACTTTCTGCCAATGCCATGAGGCTCAGGTAACAGAAACAGCACTGACTTTCTAGTAGGACAAATACCTAATGCATGCGGGGCTTAAAACCTAGATGATGGGTTGAAAGGTGCAGCAAATCACCATGGCACATGTATACCTGGGTAACAAGCCTGCACTTCCTGCACACGTATCCCAGAGCTTAAGATAAAATAAAATAAAGTAAAATAAAAAAGTCAATGCAGCAGTCCTCGCTCCCAATAACAACAGAGCACTAGGTGGGCACGGCTAATCCACCTGCCTCCCTCACTAGCAGGGGGCTGTAAAAATAAACATTTATTACACGATATTGGAAAATGTTCAGTTTGTCTTAATAGAAAAATGGTACCCTAACTAAATAAAATTAAACAGAGTCTTAGTAGGCTCTTCCAATGTGTTTGTCTATTTTCCCCACTTCTTTCCTCTTTATACAGATTAATTTTTCTTTCATTGTCTTTCAATCAATATATAAACCCAGGGATGTACACAGATATAGATACTCAGAAAAGGAGAAAATACATTTAGAAAAGATAATTTTGTGGGTAGTTATTTCATTACAATTAAATATGCACATGCTAGTGGGGTAGAATCAGATACTCTCTAATCTCCTTACTAAAAGACTATTGACCCAGGTCATTGTGTAAAAACCATTATTTGGTTTATTCCATGTTTTTATTAGACGAGCCGGGGTCTGACATCCAGAGACTAAATGGTTTTAATTCCAGAGGAATCTGGGTCAAAGAGAAAAGGTGCAGGTCTCCCTAGGAAGGCCTTGGGCTACCCCGTATACCATGGAATTGTCTGTAATTGACAGAAATCCATAAAGATGGGGAAATACGAAAGAACTAGACACTCAGTGAAGCCCCTGCTGGGTCCTGACACACTGTAGGTTCATCCGCTCTCCTGAATCTTGGCTTCCCCGTGTCCTCATGAGGACTTGACCAAGCGCACCGTGGATCCCTGAGAGATTGCACCTTGCTCCCAGTGGCTTCATGGTTACAACCACTAAAAATGAACAGCTCAAAAGCTGAATCGTAAGATTCTTCAGAACAACAATTCTGCGTTCTTTATCCATGTCATCAGCAATCAGCACTGGGTCCAACCACCGAAACCCCAGAGAAAGTGTATGTCGTTGATGAACATGGAACACTCCCCTGTCAGTTCTCTAAAGTTAAAATCTGGGTTCAGGTTTCGCACTGATCACAAATAAAAACCCAGATAGGAGTGGAAGTCAGAAGACTTGATTTCTGATTCCAATTGGATGAGGAACAGGCTACACCTGTTCTGTACAACATTTCCTAGTTATATTTTTTCACCTATAAGTAGCTAGATTCAAAGGGTTCTTTTCAGTTATTAGAGAAAGTCTTTGGGATTCATATGTTTAATACAAGCCTGTAAGTATCTGCACTACAAACCCTCCTCAGAGTTCAGCATTTAATGCCATATACTCAAGGGATGTTGCTGGGTTAGCTGATGATCACAGATTAGAAGACATCACACAGAATGCTAGCATGACAACATTGAAAGTTCTGGGGAAATCTTTCCCAGTTTTACAGAAACTATACCCTGCAGATTTATTTCCAAAATTAATTGCGTTTTCCATTCTATATTCCTTTCATGACATGCTTCTGAGAGCTCGATATCTCTTACATGATTTTTCCACATGAAGCAAGAAAACATCATGTTTATTTACGTGTGCAGGGGGTGCGTGTATATAAAATTTTAGTCTTTATTATTACATCACAGTATGTGCGAAGGATCAATGTGAACAGCATTAGGCTTGAAAATTAAGATAATTTTACTATAAACATTTTTAACAGAGATATTTTTTAGCATATTTAACAAAATATATGCCTGCAAAATGTGTAGGTATTTTATATGACTGACAGCTTCTCTGTAATTAAATGTGAGAAGCACGTTTTTTTAAAAACAACTTTTTGTTATAATCAACTTTAAACAGCATGCAATCACAAATGAACATAATTTCCTTCCTTCCATTGCAATAATATTTATCCTTGTGTATTTTATGCAGTATCTCTAATCATTCACCTGCACTAAAGTATAGTTAAGAGTTATTTAAAACTTTGCCTTAAAGGCTTACTGACTTCTAAATTTGAGGTTATTAAAAAATTCAGTTGCGATGTAACTATTTCTTTTTAGATTAGTAAGAATGTGCTAGTTTCCTGCCTAAAAACCACTTCTTCATGACAGTCCCTCATACTGCCAGTGTGAGATTTCAAAAGACTATTAAAATGAAAGAACAACTAGAATAAAACCACTCTACTAAATTATGACATTGAAATACAGGCAAACGCGGCCTTAGGAGGAAGTAAGGCCCTTTAATCTGTAAGCTTCTCCTGACCTTTGCACATAACTTCTAATGAGGTCAAGTGGAGCCCGGCGGGGGCTCCATTCCAGCCATTCTGTAAAGGGAGGACACACAGTGTTTTCCCTTTTAGTTGGCTTTCTGCATATTCTCTTAGAAGTCTCATAGTTCAAAGTGAGTTGACAATACTGAATCTAAAATGCATCATTATGTGCATCTACGTAGATGTAAATTAATTGAAAAACCCTAGAATTTTAAAAAGGGAATAAAAAGAGCCACGTGTTCCTTTCTTGCCAGAAACCAGGCTTCTGTCCAACTAAATTGCTCACCTCGCTGAAATAAGCAGGTGACTGGACGGATGATTTATAGCAGGGGAGTCCAATATTTTGGCTTCCCTGTGCCATGTTGAAAGAATTGTCTTGCGGCACGCATAAAATGCACTAACACTAAAGATAACTGATAAGCTTAAAAAAATCACAGAACATCTCATAATGTTTTAAATATGTTTACGAATTTGTGTTGGGCCACAGTCAAAGCTGTGCTGGGCCGCATGTGGCCTGTGGGCCGCGGGTTGGACAAGATAGTATTATAGCATTAGCTCTTGTTTCTTGAAGCTTTTCCTTTTCAGTGCCTTGAGGCTAGGTTGCCCATTCTCCAACCCCTAGGCCATGGAAGGTTCCCAATTTATTGAAATACTTACAGGAGAGGTGAAAATTATATCAGGACTCTTAGAAGTTAAGGGCATTTCTAGTTGGAGCTGGGATTTTGTCAATCAACGCAGGACCTGGGTACCCCTGCCATCAATATTGAGATTCTGTCTTGTCCTGGCTTGGCTTCTCCTCATCAGCCCTGTCTGTGATCTGACCACTGTGGCTGGATTTACCTCCATTATCACTTCAGAACCTTTCCAGCTTTCCACAGTATGACCACATTTAAAAATCAAGATTAACTACAGAAAGGGTTGGTTTGGGGATCCTGCAACTTTTAATAATTACAACTATGTGCTAGACACAATGCTAGGAACATCCACTTATATTATTGTATTAAATCCTCAAGACAGTCCAGAAAGGTAGGTACAATTGCATTTTGTTACACATAAGGAAGCTGAAGATCAAAAGTGTTAAATAACTTTCATAAGGTGCTGGACTGATAAATGTTAGATCGAGGTTTATCTACAAAGTTATTTCAAAGTCCACATACACTGCTCTAAGCGAAGTGACATTACACCTTCTCAAACTCATTGTGTAAATAAATACAAATAAATCATATATAAAAATATATGTTAATATGTGCATATATCTATATGTAGAAAAATAGATAGACAATGTATTTTTTGAGAAGAAAACTTGGAGTCATCATGTTGGAGAAGATTCTTTTTACCTTTAGAGTATCTCCTTCAAACAGCTGGAAGCTTCGTGTTCTAAGGTGGATGCCCTTGCCGGCTTCTGTTTCTATTTTATAGATACACTCATGGTTATTATCATAATTGGATGGAAAATTTGGAGACAGTAATGTTCCTTCATTTCCTTTGACACTTGCTCCACATTCGGCTACAATAAATAGGACATGAGAGAAAGAGGATTCAAAAGTGGAATTACTGTTTTTAACAGATTAAAAACTTTAAAATCATGATAGCCTCCTCTTCTATCAACGTATGTGTGTTAGTAATATATTATTTCAAAATAGATCAGTGATTTTTTTTTATTGTTTGACCAACTGGACCAAAAAAGATACCCCACCTAGCTCATTTTGAAAATTGTCTTATTAACAGAATGACCTCTGACTATGTGGAAGCAGCATGCTATCATACAGAGAGTTCTAGAATAAAACAGAGGTGCTCCAGCACCATGGCTCACTGGCTGTGTCGTCAGGTTGTCACAGCACCTCTCCCACCCACCTCATTCCTGCCTCATGAAATGTCCCCACCAGTTCCCACGCTCCCATTCTACCATTGTTTGTCTGCATTTTCCTTCATTGACATCTTATGGCATCAACTGGGACGCATTCAAAGGGGAATCTAACGACAGACCAAACCACTGAGTTATCTTCAGGATGTCACATCCCTGAATGCCTCAGCATTATGTCTTATAATGGAAGAACATTCAATGGCAGTAATTATCTGCTTCTCCCTCTTTCCCAATGAAGGAAGAGAAAAATTGACTTCTAGATCTAAATTTGTATCAAACAAAATTCCTCTTATCAAGGTAAAAGTGAAAATACATACAACTCTCTACTTTCTGTCAACCTGGAGAAAGTCACTTAACCTTTCAGCACCTGTCTCACAGTGAAAGTGAACAGTTTAGGTCAAGAATGCTTTCAGCTCCAAAACTCTAAGTCCAATACGATCACAGAAAAATAAAGTGGCTACATATACGGGTGCACACACACACAGAGGTTTGTCTGTGCCAAGAGAGCTCCACAGGAGTCTGCGCCAACAATTTTACAGACTATACTATGTGCCCAGCACACCGATGTAAACATCCCACAGAATGCCTATTCTTTTGAAGAATAATTGTCAGGTTGGAAACCAAGCATCAGTTAGATGCCAGGTATGTACTGAGAGCAGGAGAGAAGGATGCACAGTATTCCTTTTCCACTGGGTTGCTCAAGGTACTGCAGAATTTTGCAGATGACTTCTGCATGCCCACTGCCACGATACTGATTCTTTCACACCCTCCTTCCCTCTTTGACAACGAACACAATCAGCTACATCACTGGCCATGATATCCTAATCCACTTGCCAGCAGGAAGTTGCTAGAGATCCATGATTGCCCCCCAGTGATTTGTGCACGTTGAATCTCAGAATGCCTCCATGTGGAAGGGTGTGAGGAGAAAGTCAGAGAGGAGAACGCTTGACATCCTGGGTTCACTTCTCCCTCATCCTCCTTAAATAAAGACAGAAAAGCAGGCTTTGGATGTGGCTCTCGGGGTGCAAGTGTTGAGGCGGAAGTGCAGGCAATTGGTGACTCAAAGATGCCATTGGGAATTTATAATCATTTTAAGAAATTACAGTAATTATATAACTATAATTATGTATTTGTATAATTATAATTCTGTAAAAATCATTTTAAAAGAGAAATTTATATGTATATATACTCACGAGTAGGTGTATATATCTATAATATATAAATACTTTATATAGTTATAGCTATAAAATAGATATAAGTCTAAATATAAATATATCTATAAATAGATATAAATATACATATAAAATATATATAATATATCTAGATATAAATATATATAATTATATAAATATATTTATATCTATATATATATTTATAATATATATTTATATATATTTATATATTATATTATATATAATATATATTATATGTGTATGTGTGTTATAATACCTATAATACCTATAATTACTTGTGTATGTGTTATAATACCTATAATAACTTGTGTATGTGTGTGTTATAATACCTATAATAACCTATAATAACTTGTGTATGTGTGTGTTATAATACCTATAATAACCTATAATAACTTGTGTATGTGTGTGTTACAATACCTATAATAACCTATAATAACTTGTGTATGTGTGTGTTATAATACCTATAATAACCTATAACTTGTGTATGTGTGTGTTATAATACCTATAATAACCTATAATAACTTGTGTATGTGTGTGTTATAATACCTATAATAACCTATAATAACTTGTGTATGTGTGTGTTATAATACCTATAATAACCTATAATAACTTGTGTATGTGTGTGTTATAATACCTATAATAACCTTCGTGACATGTCAATAAACCCCATTTACAGATGAGGAAACTGAAGCATAGAATAGTTTACAAACCAAATGTCTTTCCCAAGGTCACACAGCTAGTACAGATTAATTACTGATGTGATATAAACTGTGAAGTACTCATAAAGGGAATAGCACTTTTAAAAAATATCCTAAATAACACTTACATGTACTTTAAAATTAATAATTCACACTACTGTTCATAATTAATAATAAAACTGGAGTAACACAAGTTTAAATGTTCAAGAAAAAAGTGTCTTCTTAAGGACTTTTATTCTAAATAGGTCACCGATTAATTGCAGCTGATATTTGTTATTACATTAGCATTTAGGACATTAGCTATATAATCATTTCTCATAATACATAAAAAAGGTGGGACAAGAAAGAATAATTGAGCATTTGTATCCATGTGAAGAAAAAAAATCTAAACCAAAAGAAATAATTTTACATGTTTTTATTAGCCTTTGGAATCTGGGATTTTTTTTAAAAAAAGCAGATATATAATAAATGGTAGTAACTAAGTTCAAGTCCTCACTATGCAAGAATAATAACTGTGCAAAATTAACCATCCCGTTGTAACTGATGACCCTGTATAGACAGACAATGCTGCTGCTTTGCCTTTTAGAAAAAATCAAGGCAAAAGCAACTCACCATCCTTCTAGCACTTCCCAAATCTCACTTTATATTCACAGCTTGAAACTAAAGTCTTCTATTAGTATCTGAATAAGTATCTCTCATAACCTGAGATGCAATTAAGATTTCTCAGTGAATATGTAATAATAGCTCATTTATTCAATATGTAGCTATAACTGAATGTGAATATACATGACCAAAACACTTAAATGTACAAAGGTAGGATTTCATTACTCTAGGGTAGTGTGGCACAGGATTCAAAAGATAGTCTTTCACATGGCATTTTCCCCAAAAGTATTAAATTGCTATGAAAGTATACAAACTTGGCCAGGCGTGGTGACCCATGCCTGTAATCCCAGCACTTTCGGAGGCCGAGGCAGGCGGATCACCTGAGGTCAGGAGTTGAAGACCAGCCTGGCCAACATGGTGAAATCCCGTCTCTACTAAAAATACAAAAATTAGCTAGGCGTGGTGGCACATGCCTGTAATCCCAGCTACTTCGGAGGCTGCTTGAACCCAGGAAGCAGAAGTTACAGTGAGCCGAGACCACCCAACTACATTTCAGCCTGGGCGACACAGTGTGAGACTCTGTTTCAAAAAAAAAAAAAAAGAAAAGAAAAGAAAGGAAAGTATACAAACTTGGCTTGTTAACTAGAAAAATTATTTTAATACATATACATTAAATGATATACGAATAATTGTATATAGAAACAAAAATCAAATATATATTTAATATGTATTAAATATAAATATATTAAATGTATAATATATATTAAATACACATGTATAATATACATACAATGTGTACTCACTATTTAATTTATATTTTAGTACCTATATTTTTCAAAGATTTTAAAGACGATTAACATAGAATCACATTTTTAAAAATTTAAATTATGACTTTTACATCTTTTCTCTGTTTTCAGCCGTTATTTGTGTTTGAGTTAATACCATCCTACTGAACATAGGACAGTTTTGTTTTTGCTTTGTCACCTTTTTTTTCGGATTTTATGTGGAAGTCAATAAGAAAATATGATATTTTCCATGCTGAACATGATTAGCCATTGTATCCTGAGGGCCTAGTGCTTCATGAGTCCACTTGACACCGCAGCCGTGTTGGCATCTCCAAAGGCCTACTGAGAAACATGGGTGGGGAAGGAATGCCAGGACCTGGGCACACTCTCAGGTGCAAGACAAATAGGATGTTTTTATGATTTTATCAACATGACTGAAGTGGAGCATCACATGAAGGAACTATGGGAGATGGGATTGCAAACACAGCCTGAACCAGGTTGCAGGGAATGCCCTAAAACAGTTGAATTTTAAAGACTTTAAACAAAAACACAGAAGGTATAGATGTTGTGAAGATTGACTTGTGACACAAATTCTAGAATTTCAATAGAAGAGAAGTATCTTTGAAAGTTCAAATAAATAATCACAGGAAAAATAAGTTGTAATAATACCATGCCTGATGGGGTACAGGAATTTATCTAATTTTGTTTTTGGTCTATTTGTCACTTACACAGTGCATGTTCTTATTACTATTACATCATTGGCTGGGCGCGGTGGCTCACATCTGTAATCCTAGCAGTTTGGGAGCGCGAGGCAGGCAGATCACCTGAAGTCAGGAGTTCAAGACCAGCCTGGCCAACATGGTGAAACCCTATCTCTATTAAAAATACAAACATTAACCTCGCATGGTGGTGCATGCCGGTTGTCCCACCTAATTGGGAGGCTGAGGCCGGAGACTTGCTTGAACCCAGGAGGTGGAGGTTGCAGTGAACCAAGATCGTGCCATTGCACTCTACTCTGGGCAACAAGAAAGAAACTCTGTCTCAAAAAACAAACAAACAAAGAAACAAACAAACAAAAAACACGAAAACACATGGGGGTATATAACAAAACAAAAAACACAAAAACACATGGGGGTATATAACAAAACTAAGCCCATGTTACAGATGAGAAAACTGAGGCACAATGACACTAATTAACATGCTCAAGATCACACAGGTGTGAGAGGGAAACTATGATTTGAACCCCAGGCAATCTGTTATCAGAAGGTGCAATAATTATACTACATTTGTTAATACACAATATTGGTAATTATTCCTATTGGCAGATAGGAAATAATCCATGAGGGCTACTTGCTTATGACTTTAATAACCTTGTGATTCCAAGAGGATAGGAAAGTGTTGCTGCTGAGGGAAGCAACTTTCTGAATGGGATGGGTTACTATTTTACAAAATGTTCTTTGAAGAAACATTGGTATACTTTTGGAGGCATGTCTTCTGACTTAATTCCGTTTTCAAATTAAATCAGAAGAATTCTTGCGGAAGCTTCTTATCTCCATTCCTATCTGCTCTCTAACACTACCCCTACCTTTCTGACCAAGATACCACCAAATAGCTCGCATATCACAAAATGTTTCCTTTTCCTTATTTCCAAAGCTGTGCAGGTGGCCTCCTAGTACACAAAAACAGATACAACATGATATTCAAATGAAAGAATGGATGTGTCAAAGAAACTGCGAGAGCGCTCCAGACCCTGGGGCAGTATCCCGTAGGACGTAATTTAATAAGACACTGACATTAAGTAAAGAGCAAGTGCTCAGAAAATCACAAGAGTTAAGTGACCAAAATTTCAAAAATTATTTGAGCTTGATTTAAAACATTCATTGAAAATCACCATTAGCAGAATTAAATGTTTCATTTTAAAAAAGTTTTTCAATAGTCTATTTAATACTAATTTAAGATGAATGAACACAGTTTCTTAATACAAATCACTTGCTGTTTTATAAAAAAGCTACTGAAATGTTAACTATAATTGAATTGTCACTTAGATTTTTGCAATTGAATGAAACTAATTAAAATGAAATTAACACAGAAGAAAGGAGTTAATTGATTTTTCAGTCAATTCTTCTGTACAAAGGAATCTACCTGTGAAATTTCCTGTCTCAGTCTGCTTGGCCTGCTGTAACAAAGTACCACAGACAGAGTGGCCTCAACAACAGACAGACGTGGAGGCTAGGAAGCCCCAAATCCATAGCATTAACCAAAATGTCTGTATAAATTAATGCATATTCAATATTCGGCAAGGTCATTTTATTGGGGACATTAAATAACTATTTATTTAATTATTTTAAAAAGTAGGTGAAAATATATAACCTCTCAATCTGCCTATTCAATACAGTTAAATTGGATTCAAATTCTACAGCTGAAGCAACTTGTCCACCTAAATAACCTCGAGCCTATACAATGCCTCACATTTAACAGAGATGTTTCTTAACATAATGGCTGGAAGTAAAGGTGTATGGCTCTGGTTATTAAAATGTAGAAATTGTTGTGGGGCTTTTGAGGGCACTGTGAAATTGGGAAAACTATTAATATGCAGATCTCTATGTTTTAGAAGCTTTATTTTAAAAGCACAGAAATAGAAAACAGCTCAACTAAGAAACAGAAACAGAAAGTCTACCTTTCTCCTTTAAACCAAGTTCATTGTGTTCTACGCAACAAATAAGTAAATCTTGCCCGTAATAGAAGTCTATATTAATCAAAATATGCAATTCCATATTTACTCACGAAGAATATTTAAGAATTTCACAAAATGGTACTATTTTTAGCCCATTCATTATCCTATAAACCTTTATTTTTACAATTTAGTGCCGTTATTGGATTAGCTTTTAAGAAGCAACAGAAACTAACATTTTAGCTTAGAACGTTGTTTCAATTTTTTAACCCAAAATTAAATAACTACATAGAATTATATACAGTTTAGTGATATATATATATCACTAAACTCTCTCTCTCTCTATATATATCTATAGATACATATATAGATACACTAAACCCTCTCCCTATATATAGATATACATATATCTATAGATATGTCTATCTATAGATCTATCTATAGATATGTCTATCTATAGATATAGATATATATAGAGAGACAGAGAAAGAGAGTTTAGTGTTAAACTAGATATAAATTAAACTAGATATAAATTAAATTAAAATACAGGCAAGATATTTTGTTTCACTATGCTGTCGGAAATAACTTGTAATCCATTCAAAAACTGAGGATAAGGGTGTTGATATTTTTTCGTTTTTTATTTCGCCCAATGACTTTCTACTTTGTCAAGCAAATAGAGTTAATACAGTTAATCAATAAGAGGATATATATCTCACTTTCATTCATTTTTTAAAAAAATCTCTTACTAGATACGGATTTAAGGCTTATGCTGATGTATACATACAGCCCTTTAACACCCTGAGAAAATTTTTTGTTCAAATAATTCTGAAATGATGTCATAGATGCAATATTAGGTTATGGAATTATAGCAAACATTTATCTCCATCATATATACTCTCTAACTTTGCTCCTGATCTTTTGACCAAAATGTCACAAACCATCACAAAATATTCAGTTTTTGTTATTATTCAAAAGCTGTGCAGATGGAATTCTAAATGTGCTAAGCCAATCACGACTGCCCTGGCCACAATGACTGCTCAGGAATAGGCATGGGACTCAATGTGGGCCAATGAGAGGAAACCCAGGACTTGTACATAAGCGATCTTCACATAGCTGTTTCCACAGAACTGCACGATGTGGGGCTACAGCACTGTATGTGATGATATGAGATCAGGAAGCCACCCAGTGCTTTACCCAGACTGGCAAAACTGAGAGATGCTGAGACCTCAGGTTCTTGTTGATGAGGTTGAACCCTTGATCAAACCTCACCTGAAGATGTCCCTAGGTATGGACTTTACATCACCTTACCAATAAACTTTCATTTTGACTTAAGCCAATGTGGGCAACTTTTTCTCTAATTTGCAAGTGAAAAAGAAGATCCTAAACAATACACGTGTAATGCACATGCCAACAGGTGCCAGAAGAGAGGGTTTGAGCATTGAGGTTGAATACCCAAGGAATACATGATACTATTTCTATCATCCTAAATGCATCATCAGGTTGAAAAAAACCCTAAAATGAATAAACACAAATAATAAAAAAGTTTCCATCTCTTTCATTTCAAAGTGACTTGATAGAGAGAGAAATAGTTCTCAGCTCAGATGCTCACTAGAAATTCCATTTAAGTCAGACACTTATTAGGGAGGTTAAAACGGCACACTTTTAACTCAGTCGACATCCTTAGGTGTCACCTGCAACCTTTGGTATGGATTTGCCTCTTTTTTGCCACAGGCAAATCATTTTTATTTCTATAATTTTAGAGAAAGGAACATGAAGCATGGATGAATCAAATTTTTGAGATGAAAAGAGAACCTTGTGAGGAAAGCAATTTTCCTCTTTTGGATACACAGAACTTAGGGATGAGGCAGACCACTGTAAAGGAGCCAGCAGTCTGAGGAGGGAGACAAAGAGATGAAGACAACTTGAGGCCGGGCACTGTGGCTCACGCCTGTAATCCCAGCACTTTGGGAGGCCAAGGCGGGCACATCACATGGTCAGGAGTCCGAGACCAGCCTGGTCAACATGGTGAAACCCCGTCTTTACTAAAAATACAAAAATTAGCCGGGCGTGGTGGCATGTGCCTGTAGTCCCAGCAACTCGGGAGGATGAGGCAGGAGAATTGCTTGAACCTGGGAGGCAGAGGTTGCATTGAGCCGAGATCGTGCCACTGCACTCCAGCCTGGGTGACAAGAACAAAACTCCATCTCAAAACAAAACAACAACAACAAAAAAACGTAATGGCAAAAACCGCAATTACTTTTGCACCAACCTTATAGAAAGAGCCCTGGTGCTCTGTGGGCCTGAGAGGGCTCCATCTGTCTGCAGGAGGCTGCTGGCTGAGCACTGGGTGCACTCTGGAGAGCCAGGGAATGAGGGACTCTGATCCAGGACAGCGTGGAGGGAGAGTGATTGCTCTGATTAGTAGGGGAAGCACTGACCAGGCTCTGTTACACTGGGCAAATCGATGGGGTTTTCACTTTGGAGAGAGCATTCTGGGAGCTGCGGCCCCTGGGGTTGGTGGGGTCTGGGGAGCCAGGGAAAGCATCAGGGGGACTGCGGGGTTCTGGAGTGAGGTGGGGCTAGGAGGGTGGGGAGGAGGAGCCTGAACTGAGAGCTCTGCAGCGGCCAGAATCCTCCAGAGCTAGGACATAAGCAGGTGTGGGGAATTAGAGAGAAATGAAGACAGCACCCGAATGCACCAGAGGGGCTGGAGGAAAAATCAGGAAACTGCAGGCAAAATGCAAAAGGCTAAATACAAAAAGGGCCTGTCCAAGGCCCTCCTGTCCAGTGCGGTGGTTAAAGGCTGAGTTGCAGGCTCCCTGGGTTCGAGTCTTCCTAGCTCTGTGTCCTTGGGCAAAGTTTGTAGAGTCTTTTTGTCTTAACATTTCCACATGTAACAGGGAACTGTCCATCACAGCATTTACTTCGTAGAATTGTCATGGGACTAAACACGTTATTACATGGAAGGAGCCTGAAGCAGTGCCTAGTCTACCACACACTGTTTAATAAATAGTACCTATTCTTCCAACTCTAGTTACTGAGTTTTCATATTTTAGACCACAGAGTAAAAACCTGAATGACAAGAAAAACAGTGTAAAGATAATGACTCTGGATGAAATAGAATAACATTTAATGGGTCTTAATCATTATAATCAGTAGACTACTGACTGTTACATATCTAGATGTCACCTTGATTTCATTGAGTTGGGGGTTTTGTCCAGATTTCAAACTATCTCAGTCAGGAGTCTTTAGACTCCAACCAATTCTGGGAACTCCTATGATCACCTGCAAAATACCGTATTTTTTTTCTTGAGATAACAGTCAAAATTTGCCTTCCATTCTCAAATAAATATTATAACCACAAACAGTAAGAACCATTATTTTAGGAGAAAAGCAGATTGTGAAAATATATAGATACATGTTTTGGAAACAGACACAGATGATTTGATTCATGTTTATTTGTTTAATTTTTTAATAACGAAATTCTGACTGTGTATCTCTGGTTCGTTAAAATCCAGAAATATAGCTTTATCATTTGAGTTACATAATATCCCTAAGCAACCCCAAAAATCTGCCCCAAAGGCAGAATCAAAGAGATTCTGCACCATGGTAAAATAAAACAAGTTATGCTAAACAAGTTATGCTAAGTGAACATGTTTGTGTTTTATATGGACTGTTAAATTTTATCTTCAGACCTTCCCCACCTGCCTCCAGTTCGTTAACTGGTGAAATTAGTGTGGTTCGTATTCTGGACTCCCCATGGACTCAGAAGGCTTGGTATTAAGGAGAACCTTGGTTAATCTCTCATCTCCCTTTTTTCTTCACAATGACATTAGTCAGTTTTCTGTAACTTTAAAGAACAATTTGTAAGACCCAGAATATGCTGAGCAACATGGCTGGGTGGCAGGAACTAGACGTTGTCCGTATAGCTAACTACGAGAGCTCTGGCTGTGTGGACAACACACCCTATTTAAGCTACAACGGCAGTTACGATTCTCCTTTGCTAAACTTCTTAGAGTGGCACAGTTCCCAGATTGCTAATAAACGTCACCCCACTGGATCAGCAAGCCAATTCCTGCATGTGAGCCTAGTACTTCATGGCAAAGTACCGAAATAAAAATTCCTGTTACTCTTCGGAATTATCTCTTGGATTCCTCCAGAACACACTGAAAAAGTGAATTCAGCATTCAGATGCCTCTTGTGCCCACTTAGCAGGAGTGTGCAACCATCATCCCATCAAAGGCTGCCACTGACAACAAAAACAAAATTGTCACCATCGTTATACCAAGGGACACGTGCTGCTTTTAATCAATGCAATTGTCAGAGGTTGTGTTATTATAGCTTGGCTTCTATCTTCCAGTTTTTCTTTTGCTCCAGATTTTCTCTCTCTCCGTATATATATATTTTTTCCCTTCATAAATATGCTTGACACATGCTTTGGTTTCACTCTTGTTCAATCATAAAATTTCAGAGCTGAAAGGGACTTACTTTATAGATGAGCTAATTCAAGCCCAGAGCAGTTAGGCAGCTCCCCTCTCCCCTGGTTGGCAGAGTGGAGCCCACACTTTCACCCTCTCCTTCCTTGTCAACAAACCCCCACCCGACCCCGACCACCCTAGGCTTCTTGCCTGGGCTAGACCCTGCCCCCATGGATGAATGAAATGAAAGCGTGTGACCACCTACCCACACACCTTGGCAGAGGTGCACTCCACACACGGCGGCCCCCACCCAGGCAGGTAAGCTTGGTGGCACCTTCTAAACGATATCCCAGGAAGCAGGAAAACGTCAGAGAGTCTCCCACACCAAAGTGAAAACCAATTCTTCGGCTGAAGGCAGGGACTCCAGGATCATCACATGGCTCCAGGTCATATTCTGAGGCATGCAGAGACAGAGTAAATGCATGAGGATTTGGGTAAATACACAAAGATTAAATAGCAAGAATAAAAAGTGCTATTACTAAAAAAAAAAAAAAAAACCTACATATATATTTTCCCCAAACACTTATAACTGTTACGTGCATTTTTTTTCTTGTACTATGAACTGTCTTATGACAAATGACATGGGATTTAGTATTTTTTTTTTTTTAAGAATTGACAGGTAAGAATGAGAATTACTAGAGGCTGGGAAGGGGGTGTATGGAGGGAAGGATAAAGTGATGTTGGTCAATGGATACAAGGATACAGTTAGAAGGAATATGTTCTAATACTTGATAGCAGAGTAAGGTGACTATAGTGAGTAATAATACAGTGTACATTTCAAAATAGCTCAAAGGCAAGATCGGAAATGTTCCCAACACAAAGAAATAATAAATATTTGAGGTGATGGGATTCTTAAGTATCTTGATATGTTTGTCACACATTCTACTCATGTATCAAAATATCACATGCACCCCATAAATGTGTACAATTATTATGTAACTAGAAGACAAGCAGACAAATAGCATATTAAAATGAGATAATTCACTTCAAAACTGTCAGCTTGAGAGTGTGGAATAATTTTACTGATATTTCTAATTGCTTAAATTGGTTACTGTATCCCTCCCAAAGGTGCTTTTTGGTAACTAACGCATGAAGCATAACATAAAAGCAAAGGCACAGGGCTATGTTTCTGGAAATCTTATCAGAGCCAATTTTGCCTCTAGAATATACCTCAGTGAGGAACAGTGGAATTTTCCTCTGTTTATTTTCAATCTGTAAACCATGTGAGATTGAAAAGTAGTAGACAAGATTTTGTACTAAAATTACTATAAACCATTCAAGAAGGAAGTGCTAAATATAAATTAAAAAATAAATGTCTGATATTTTGCTGCATTTTGGGAGTAAGTATTCAAAATGTCAGCACTGATATCTCACTTCTGTGTTTGCCACGTTCTTTACAGCCAACTCCTTCTGATCTCCGTAGTATGTACGTATAATTGAGCTCTGGCTGTCACCAGCCTCTTGGTCCATTATCAAGTCCATGGTTTTGACAGTGGGAAGTGAGAAAGTGTGGGTAAGTGCCTATTTGTTTGGTTTCCTCCTTCTTGCTGTTTCCCCAGTCTGTAATGCCCAGTTTTGTCAGATAGTATCAAACAGTCAGCCAGCCAACTAGGAAAATATGCTTAGGTATTGGAATGGTAAGAAGAGTTTCAGAGAGAATCTTGAAAGGCCAACTAAAAGATGTGCATTATTGCAAAGAATTGGGACAATGAAGATCACTCTTAGTTTACCGTGGGGAAGAAACGTTTAGAAAACTATGCTAATCTTTCTAAAAAAAATTACTTCTACTTTTTTCTAACACCATCTTTAGGGTTCCCCTAACTCGGAATTTTAGGTTCATTATTTTCACTGGACATATAAAATCCAACTGATCCTTTTCCCCTTAGTATTCCTCAAATCTGATCCTTCTTTTTTTTTTTTTTAGTTTAGTTTTCATTATCTGCTGAGTTTGTCACTGAGATCTCATACCTGCACTTTTATAAAAACTTTTATGGAACTCTGTACCTAAACACTTCCTTCATCTCACTTAGCTTACTGGTAAAGCTCTGAGGTGGATACTTTCTGAATTATCTTTGCGTTTAGATAAGCAATCTACTCTGGATCTGTAAAACATTCAAACTAACATTGATAACCTTGAGATATACTTATTAATTTGACTTATGCATAGTATGACTCAGAAAGAAAATAATATAGACAATGTCATTTAATTGAACTCAACAAACATTAATTGACAACCTATCATACGTTTACTTTTTAGAACATATTAAAATAAAGATGTCACAATTCAGATAATATTATCACATACCTTGCTGTTATCATTCTACTTCTATCTAAGGATATACTGTGTGCACTCAATTCAAGCCATACATTTCCTGTCATTTCTTTAAAAATAGTTGAAAACTCCAGGCACTGTGGCTCATACCTGTAATCTCAGCACTTTGGGAGGCAGAGGCGGGTGGATCATGAGGTCAGGAGTTTGAGACCAGACTGACTAACACGGTGAAACCCTGTCTTTACTAAAAATAAAATAAAATAAAATAAAAAATAACAAAAAAATTAGCTGGGCATGGTGGTGCATGCCTGTAATCCCAGCTACTCGGGAGGCCGAGGCAGAAGAATCGCTTGAACCCTGGAGGTGGAGGTTGCAGTGAGCTGAGATTGCACCACTGCATTCAAGCCTGGGCAACAGAGCAAGATTCCATCTCAAAAAAAAAAAAAAAAAAAAACAAACAAAAACATTCTTGCCAAACAGGAGAATATTTTGATATTATTATGTGCTATACCTATTATCTTATATAAAGAAACACCATGATCTTATGGTTCTTTGCTTTAAGTATATTTTTACTATATATTGTAGTTTATACAATATCCTCTGAAAGCAACTTAGAAGGACAGAAAGCCTGAAACAACACCATGAGGTTAGAAGGTGTGTGTTAGTTGTAACCATCTTGATTAGGCTTTCTAAGGATTCTCTTATATTAATTATCACTTAATCATTATTATACAAAGTATATTTGCAAGGTGTGCATGTTCATCTTTGTCTAACACAAGAAAAGTGTATTGCCTTCAGAATTCCATCTTCTCACCAACGCAAAGATTTTGTTCTTGGAGTTTATCCTTTTTTTCCCCCTTCATCAATTCTCTTATTTCCATCAAGATAAAAATATGCGTTACACGGTCAATCTTAAGAATGAGATAAACAACCAAAACCACCAACAAAACAAACTAACAACACCAATCTCTGGACTTCACAGTCACCCAGCCACCATATCCCTACTCTGGTTATCATTAGCACAAATTTTTCAAAGTGTTGGGTGTACCTTCCATTTTCCCATCCTCCCTTCCAAGACTGTCTTCCTCTCATCTATTCAGGCTTTCCTTCACAGCCTTCCACTCAAATGATCTTACCAAAGCCACTGTGACCTCCGGATGCAAAAACCAATGGTCAATTCTTAGGCTTCCTCTTACTAAGTAGGTTTTAATACAGTTGAATGCTCTCTTTTTTCTCCAAAGGCTTTCCTTTCTTAGCTCCCTGGATGCCACTCTCCTCCTAACTCACTGGACCCAACTTCTCATTTGGCTGATTCGGAACTTCTGCTGCCCCATGTGTTGAAATTAATTCTATGCCGATGGGTTTCCAGTATTTCTTTTTCTTTAATATGATCCTGTTATATGAACTGAAGACTCTTGTCAATCACTCTTGAATACATCCCTCAATATCCCCAGGAGAAAAAGGTCTGTATTTTCTTCCCAAACCTGCTTTGCTTCCAGTGGTTTTCACGTAAAACAGAGCATCCTCATTCATGCAGGTGCAAAATCTTGACCCCACTCTGTATTTTATATGACACCTTCACTTCCTGCCAATCAAGTCAGCTCTAACCTTGCATCCTTCCTGTAGTCTCAGCTTCCATCTTGCATCTCTTGCTGGGATTATTGTGTAACATGTTCCTGTTGAGACTCACGCATTGTCTTTCAAGTAAACATTGAAAAAGCTCAGATCATGTCAAGCTCTTCAAATCCATCCAATGGCTTCATGCAACATCCTGAGTTAACATCCAAGTTACTTATGTTATCTGCCCTCCATAACTAACTTCACGTCCCTCCACTTTCCCCTCGGTTTCAGGGGTCTGGCCACAGTGCCCCTCTGCTTTATCCTAAACTTGGTGTCTTGGTCCTCCCATTGTACCTCCGTCTGCTGAGAGCCCACCCAAATTAGCTGGCCTGTCCATTCCCTGCTTCACAATCAAGTCTCAGCCTGTCAGAGACCTGCCTAGGCAATTAAAGAATGAGCGTACTCTCCTCTGTCCCAGGTACTCATGACTCAACCACAGAAGAAGAAACAGTATCCTCATTTGAAAAGTCATGGTACCATTGAAGGAGACAAATACAGAAAAGTCATTATGGGAAAGGAATAATTTTGGTGTAAAAACGTCATGGAAACGTTTTTCTCCTGTATTATATAGAAGAAAACAAATTCTGCCTAGGGAAAAGAAGAAAGGCTGCATGTCAGAGACACCCTCTGACCTGGACAGGAGGAGTTTTGCCTGGTGAAAAATGTAGAAAGGCTTATTTATTTATTTATTTATTTATTATTTTTTTGAGACCGAGTCTCGCTGTATTGCCGAGGCTGGAGTGCAGTGGCGCGATCTCCGCTCACTGCAAGCTCCGCTTCCCGGGTTCACTCCATTCTCCTGCCTCAGTCTCCTGAGTAGCTGCGACCACAGGCGCCTGCCACCAAGGCTTTTGAATGAAGAGAAAATCACATATGTAATGGCACAAAGTGGTCCAACTTTTAACCTTTTGAAGAGAATGACTGAGAAATGATGCTAATTCACTAGAAGTTAGCACTGAAGAAGTAGACACGTCGTAGCGAGTGGGAAAGTAAGTGTGGAGTATCCAGTGCACATAGTTAGCAACTAGTAGCAGACAATGTTATGTAGAATGGGGATTGTGCAGGTTTATCTAAGCCAACTGGAATACGGGGCTCTTTTTCTACAATATTACCGTTAACATCTGCAGAAATACTGACTAGGAAACACAATCAGGAAACACTGCTTTAATAAGGCCTTCTGAGAAAGGCAGAAATAAACTCGATTAACAGGAAAGAAGGCAGATATAAAAGCATATGAATACCATTTATGATAAACCACAAAGTCTCTGGATGGGTAAATGCCTCATTTGTATAATAAAGTTGCTAGTTATTTGTATACTTAAAAAAAAAACTCCATGGTATCAGTGTCACTGGCAATTGTTTGCAGCACAGTTTCTAGGCAAAAATCCTACCAAATGAAATTACTCCTCTAACATACCTGAAGAATTTGTTTACTTTAAAGTCGACTTTGAAATCCAAAGTGTTGTCTTTTGTTTTTAAAAAGACTTTCTGCTTGTGTGCAACTGTCTAGATGAAATTTATTTCTTCTGCAGGCTTTAGGTATTATTTTCTACTGGTTATGTTTAAATGAATTGTTCTGAATGTTTACAGACTGTTAACCACTTTAAAGACCCATGAAAGAGTATTTTATTGTTGTTGGCTTGCTTGTTTGTGCAAGTAGTTTATAATGACAGTGTCAGCTGTGTAGTTACATTCTGACTTTTATATGGTCTGAGTGTGTTACCCAAAATCCATGTGCTGGAAATTTGATCCCCTTTTTGGGAGTGTTTATGTCATGAGGGACCCACCCTCATTAATGGATTAAAGCCATTAAAAGGGCTTCTTCTCTTTTACCCCATGGGGATATGGGCGATTCTCCCCTTTCTGACCATATTACCTTCTGCCATGTGATGTCACAGCAAGAAGGCTCACCCCAGATGCCAGCACCTTGATCTTGGACTTCCCAGGGTCCAGAATTGAGAAACAAATTTCTGTTATTTATAAATTATCTAGTCTCAGGTATGCTGTTATGGCAAGTGGCACAAACAGACTAAGACAGTAGTCGTCAAAAGAGTTACTGTCAGACCTGTGGTGAGGGCACCAGAATAAGAAACTGATGCAGTAAAATGAATAGAATTTGCACAGACTTCTGAGAAACACCTGCAGAAGTGAACTGTAACAGACTTGCGTCACTGCCATTTTCTTTTTTTGGAGAAGTCTATTTAAATTCATTTTGGGTCCTGATGAAAGTAAGAACTGGAGGAAGTGATATTCTCATAGCAATACTAATTGAGATACACCAGGGGAGAATGCAGAGAGAGAGGGATTTAGGAATTAGTGTTGGGAAGATTTAAGTCTTTGATATATAAAGTGGCAAGTTTCATGATTACTGCTGATTACAACAAATTTCCAAGAAATCAAGTGGTCTGAGCCAGTCTTGAAAGCTTCACTTGAGTAGTGAAATACCAAGAAAAATCAACAAAGTCAGATTAAGATAAATGGCAACTAGGTAGAATTAGAGGGAGTATAAAGTAGTTCAGAGCATCTTAAAATCCCCAAGAAATATTTTCCTTGAAGACACTATTTGATTTTACATAATGTTAATCAACATGCACTAGTTAGTAGGCAATTGTGAAGTTCTTATTACAGTTGACTCTTGAAAAATGTGGGTTTGAACTACTTGAATCCATTTATACATGAATTGTTTTCAATAAATACATTGACAATTTTTTGGAGATTTGCTACAACTTAAAAACACATGCAGACGAACCATGTCATCAAGACTTACCTTAGAAATTAGTAAAATGTTAGGTATATCATGAAAGCACAAAATATATGTAGATACTAGTTTATTTATGTGTTAATTGACTGTAGGCTTTTGGTCAACAGTAGGCTATTAGTAGTTAAGTTTTTGGGGCGTCAAGAGTTACCCTCAGGTTTTCCACTGTGTGGGGGTTGACACCCCAACCCTTGTATTATTGAACTACAGTTGACCTTGAATAATACAAGGATTAGGGGTGTCGATCCCCGCACAGTGGAACATCATCTTACTTATGAGTAACTCATCTTACAGTAACATACAGCAGTAGAGCTGTTGTTTATATAAAAGTGGGGCAAGCAAACTTTCTACCAAGATCTTCAGTTTTGGTTTGGGAGATAAGATAAATACTCAACTATTGTGACACATAATCTCATAAGTGGCATCAGAAGTTATTAAGGAATTTATGAGATCTCAAAAGTAGAATAAATTACATGTGACTGTGGTACCCAGGGACCACCTTATGAAAATTACATTTGATCTGGGCTATGAGGAATAAGGAAGGAAAACCCTCTTCGTCCAAAGCATCATATGCACAAATGCAAGTTAATATGATTGTTCCCATCCTTTGGCAGCTGTAGTGCAGCAGGGCCCTTTCTGTTGGTGGAGGGTGGGGGCATGCTGGAAATGAAGACACTGCAGAGGTTCTCAGTGTGACCTGTTCACTGAGCATCATTTGTTTATGTGACCAAGTTTATCTCTCACATGTTTGGCCAGTTTTTAAGTGGCGGCAATTTTTTCTTATCTGTAGAAAAAATTAGCATCTCTGTCATAGAACTATACAAATTAAACAATCTAACCCATACAAATAATTTCTGCTGTAACATAAACCTTATGCAAATATTATCTATATATTATCATTAAAAATAAAGATGTTACCTAACTTGGAGTATTTTTTGTCATTGCATATGAATATATTAAACTACAAGCTCATCCTCAACTGTGTGTGTCCACCTGCTTCTTTCATCCTAGAGGTGGTTGTCAATGCAAATATTGGCACCTACCGTAGGGTAGAAACCAATGCAATCAGGTGACAACAGACCCAGAGGATGCCTCCCAATAAAGGAACTTTCCTCAGAGATCTTGTAGAGTTGGTGAAGAGAATCGAGTGAGAAGGGCTTTGCAGAATGTAGTGACATCTACAGATTTTTCAAAGACGAGAATTCACAAATTGTGTAACACAAAGTGGCATTTTCTGGATGCCACATAACTGTACTTGCACCCTGCTTCGTGGAGGCTCAGCCTCCTGCACCCCATTAGTTGGAATCAAGTCACGCATGTACAAACACACACGGATGCACACATTACACACACACACACACCCACACACATTCTCACTAACAGAAATGGCAGTATTGTTGCCAGAGGAGAGAAACAGCAAACAAGACCAACATACCTGAAAATGTGATATTGAAGCCCTCGTACGAAATTGAGAAGTCTGATATAAACCGAAGCTGGGCAGTGAAGTTTCCAAACAGGCCTGCCTTGATCGTATGAGGCAACACCGACCCGGTGAGCCTGGCAACGGGCTCGGAAAAACTTCCATCCTCTGTGATCAGTAAATAGTCGTGGGAACTCTCAAGATGAAAGGTGTGAAAGATCATTTGAACTCCTGAGAAATGAAGCCGGGGGAGAGAGAGAGAGACAGAGAGAGACACACGGGGCGGCGGGGGCAGAGAGGGAGCGGGGCAGAGAGAGACAGAGACATAGAGATGACAGAGATGGAGAGGAAGAGAAAATAAGAGGGGAAGACAGATTGCAGAGAGTAATAGCCACAGAGAGACAGAGATGATAAAGAGATGAGACAGAGATGGAGAGAGATGGAGAGGAGAGAGAGAAAAAGAGAGAGGTTAGGAGAGGTAACAATTGCTGAAAAATTTTTTCTGGACTTAGACACATCAAGCCTTAATCAAAATATTAAAATGTTATCTTGATATGAAAATCTAGCTTTGAAGTTTAAGAGGAAAATTGGTGGAAAGAGGACGGCTTTAGAAATGAAAAAAAGCAGAAGGGATAAACAACAAAAATAAATACTTAAGTGCATATAAGTACAGATATGATGTAAATATGAAGATATGATGTGGACATCAATATTGAGGAAATATGGAGATTATAGATGTAGTTATATATAGATACAGATATAGATGTACATATTGGCATAGATATGTATATTTAAGAAAAACAGGTGAGAATGTTTACAATGGGTTTCATTTAAAAATTGTCAGTAGACTCTTAGGGACAGTATTTGTCCCAGAGGGACAAAGGACCAGACAAATTTTCAATTTACTCTAAACAGGTGTCCTTTAGAAAAATCTTATTTGGAGGTCTGCATAACCGAGGAAAAACTTCCTTAAAAATGTAGTTTTAGATGCCCGTAAAGCATATGACCTCATAGTAACCGGAACTACAAAGGCTTATTTCTGGATTCCTATAGTGAAATTAATAAAATTAACTGTGAACAGATAACTTCTAATAAAAATGTGTATTTTTATGATTATAAAACTTTGATCACTCATAATCTGTGTCTTCTTTATGCTTAATTTCCTTCAGGGCAAGTTCTTCTTTCATGTCATTCATGGCAGCATAGTGCCACACAGTACACATAATAAAATGTAGCCATTTCATATTAAGTCGGGTTCAAATCTATGTGAAAAGACGAAGTCTACATAATACTTATGTGATCGAAATTCCAAATAGACTCTTGTTTATTTTATTTTTTGAGATAGAGTCTCGCTCTATCTCCTAGGCTGGAGTACAGTGGCGCAATCTCAGCTCACTGCAACTTCCGCCTCCTGGGTTCAAGCCATTCCCCTGACTCTGCCCCCAGAGTAGCTGCGATTACAGGCATGCACCACGATGCCTGGCTAATTATTTTGTATTTTTAGTAGAGACAAGGTTCCACCATATTGGCTAGTCTGGTCTGGAACTCCTGACCTCAGGTGATACACCTGTCTTGGCCTCCCGAACTGCTGGGATTACAAGCGTGAGTCACTTCACCTGGCCCCAAATAGACTCTTAAAGATGACACGTTTAGTCACAGAAAAAAGTTTCAGGCTACAATCCTAATCCCAGTGTTTATAATCTACATTTCCTGCACAAAATGCAAAATATCCTGATCTTCACTATGCTTACCTATAAAATGAGGATAGAAATATCTATTCTATGAGCCATCTCTGGATTATGTGAAGATAAATTATTCATTATGTATGATGATACTGGGTAAACATAAAATACAAGGAAAGTACAAAAATTGTCCCAGATATATCATGAAATTGGAAGTTGGACAATCGCTTATTTCCCTTTATTTAATCAATGGTCAGATTTTATTGAATAGATGCCTTTATTCCTTACCACGATAGCTATATTTCAAGCTTATGTTCACATGCGTATATTCAGGTTATCTGATAAACAGAGAGCAAAACGGGGAATGGTTTTTATTGTACAGTTGAAAGACTATTGTTCTTCCAAAATCTTATTAAATAATAAGTTAAAATCTTGAACTATACATGAGAAAAGTAGTTATCTCACTTGTTTACACCGTAATATGTTTTTGTTTTGTTCCCGTTTTTCTGTCTCATTTATTAGTCTGTATGTTTGAGACCTATGATAGATTCTTACCTTTCCCATGAGACACTTCAATGGTCCACGTGCAGTTTAGAGAGTTTGGATAAAAATCTGGAAACCCAGGAGAAAGGACTGTTCCACTCTTCCCTTGGATGTAGCCTCCACATAGAGCTTAAAATAATAAAGAGAGATGATTACAGCACTAAAGTTTCACAATGATTGCCAGAACAAAATACTGGTTAAATGGCATGCAATTTGCACAAGGATTAACAAATTTAATGTCATATCCAAGAAAAACCAAGCAGAACCTGAGCTTTATGTTACTTGCAAATATCATATGCTAGTTCATATGAAGGGATCTTAACCACTACAAAACCTTGACAACGTAACACAGAATAAGGCACAGCAGGAGAGCTGGAACCTGCATTAACAAGCCTCAGAATTGCAGACATGGTACAGGTTTGCACTCCTGAGAGCCGCTGGTCTTCTTAGCAGCACTTCATTGAGTTCAAATCCCCTCAACAAACCATGTCATGTTCAAACACTCACTTCAGACACTCATTTTGGAAAAAAAGAAGAGAAAGTTTTATGTAATCATTTCAATGGGAAAGTGGCAACAATTAGGATGTCTGCAGAATATGGGAGCTTAAGTGCTCAACTCTGATGTTAGAAAGTTATGAGTTCAAATGCCAGCTCAGCTTCTCACTAGCTCTGTGATCTCTGGTAAGTCTCTCAATCCTTTACATTTCTCCCATCTTGAAAATAGAAATTATGATAAAATCCATCTCATGGATAGGTGTTTGCAATGATTGCCATTGTAGAACACAATTTACAGTGTGTAGTAGCTACTAAATGATTAAAATGGTACCTACTGATAGATACTGATCAAAACGTTATCTACTGAGAGTTGCTAACGGGAATTCAATTCTTAAGATATCAATAATTTAACCTTTTGAATAGACTCCATATGCCCTAATTTTACAGACATCAAGAGGAGAATATTGACACGTTCCCGCCAACTTTCTTCTTTTATTTCATATCTTAAGACCTCTCAAGCTATCCTATGAATGGAAGCACTGAACTGAAAAAGAATAAAAGGAAATGGAGTCACCAGAGCCGGAGGGTAGAGGCAGGAAAGGCAACTGCCGTTCATGCTCTGCAAACAAACAGCCATGTGCTCCGGGTCTTGCTCTTCTCCTGGAACCTCTCCACCTGCAGTTGTGAGGCCTATGGATGTCACCAGCTCAGATCTCGAGACCAGGCTGCCCACCCTCACTGCAGCACCTCCACTGTGATGGTGAAGGTTATGTGCCAGTGTGACTGGGCTAAGGGCTGCCCAGATAGCTGGTAAGAGGCCGGTCATGTCTGTGAGGGTGCTGCTAGGACAGATTAGAATTTGAGTCAGTGGACTGAGTGAAGATTTGCTTTCACCAATGTGAACTGGCATCATTCAATCTGCTGAGGGCTGGAACCGAATAAAAAGGCAGAGAAAAGGCTGGGCACGGTAGCTCACACCTGTAATCCCAGCACTTTGGGAGGCTGAGGCAGGTGGATCACCTGAGGTCAGGAGTTCCAGACCAGCCTGGCCAGCATGGCAAAACCCCATGTTTATCAAAAATATAAATTATTAGCCAGGCATAGTGGCAGAAGCCTACAATTCCAGCTATTCAGAAGGCTGAGGAAGGAAAATCACTTAAACCCGGGATGCGGAGGTTGCAGTGAGCTGAGATCACGCCATTGCACTCCAGCCTGGGGCAACAAGAGTCAAACTCCATCAAAAAAAAAAAGGCAGAGTAAAGAAAAATTTTATCTTTTCTTGAGCTGGGACATCCATCTTCTCTTGACCCTGACTTCAGAGCTCCTGGTTCTTGAACCATCAGACCCAGAACATACATCTTCAGCTCCCCTGGTTCCCAGGTCTTCAGTCTCAGACTTAATTATGCCACTGGCTTTTCCAGATGTCTAGCTTGCAGAAGGCAGATCTTGGGACCTTTTGGCCTCCCAAACACATGAGCCAATTCCCACAATAAATCCTGGTTCTGTTTCTCTGGAGCACACTGACTAATACATCCACTTACTAGTTAGTAACACGTGCAAAGTTCTCTACCGCTCTGTGCTTCCATGGCCTCACATGTAAAATGGGGCAAAAATCACAGCTCATTCCTGCTTGCTGAAGAATGAAATAAGTGAATACATGTAAGGAGCTCACAATAGTGTCTCACAAGTGAAACATCACTCAGTGTCACAATTTACTATGCATTTCACAAGGTTCCTTTGCTTTTTTTTTTTTTAACATGCCCACATTCTGTGCATGTATATATTTATACTTCTTTTCTTAAACTAGGTAAGATGAACTATCATGAAGTAAATGATACTCAGAATAACTTCTTCCAATTAGTATGATCATTCTGAATTATGTTTTATAAAAGCCTCTTCCACAAATAATATTCACAAAAGAATTAGATAATCTATGAAAGATGTGACTAGCCTCATCGTGCTCACTAACCATCCATCTTAAGGGAACAAATCATCTCCTTTAATACGTAAACCTCATGGGAAGCATGATATAAAAATCGGCAAAAGAGAAAATTTTTAAAATAATTTCTAGAATATTTTAAGAATTTCTCATGGAATTTTTGCATCTGAAGATTGCAGTGACTCCACATTTCACTGTGAAAGAAGTAACATTATACATCCCACTTGAAATTAATGTATTCAACAAATCGTTATTGGGCACCTGCTATTGAGCAAGCTCTGCCCCCAGCATCAGGGATGATTAATAATAAGAGAGATAAAATATCTGCCCTTCTAAAGTATGAATTCCAGTTGGAAAAGACAGGATAAAACCTGTAACAACATAAAAGGCAGATGATATACAATATTGGCAGATGACACATGACTGTGAAGAAAATTAAGAAAAAGGGATGGGATAGTGTGAGGCTTCTGGGTGGCCAGCGGTGCCGTACTTAGGAAGTGGTCTATAAATAAGGACTTGAGAGAGACAAAGGAAACAGTGAATACCTGGGGAACAATTTGGGTAGAGAGAAAGTGGTTAGGACCAGGGCTCAAGCTACAGTGGAGCTGCAGGGACAGGGAACAGAAAGGACACCTCTGTGACTGGGGGGTCCTTGTAAGGGTTGGAGGTTTCTTTCAGTGACATGATGGGGCACTGGATGGCCCTGCCTAGAAAACGACACGATCTCATGACCTACCTGGGGTTTAGCCCTGCTCCTGAGGCTGTGCTGAGAGAATACACAGTGGTGAAGGGAGGAAGGTGGTCAGGACCCCGAACCAGGGCATTGGCAGCAAGATGGGAAGACATGGTCTGAACCTGCCTGTGTCCTGAAGGTAGAGCCGGTGGGACTTTCTCCTGAATGGGATATGGGCATTACGATAAAAAGGAGGAGCTGGGGGTGATTGTGAGTTCATAACCTGAGTGTGAAATAACTACAGGTGAAGGAGATCTCAGGAGAACCAGGTCATGAGTGTAAGGCAGGCGTTCAGCTTTGGATACCAAAGCTCCAAGTCTGCTGGGCTTGCCTGTAGAATGGCCGACATTATAACAGGTTACATAGGTCTGGAGGCCATGGAAGAGGGTTGAGCAAGGGATAGAAGGGAGACCACAACTATGTGAGAACACCAGTGGCAGTGAATGTAGAAATAAGCTTCCATAGAGGGAACTAATGCCAGCGCACCGCGTAGTGGGAAGAAAACCAGCAGAGGACGGAGGAGTCCCGAATTCAGAAGGTTTGGATTCGTAACTTTTCACTGGTCTATGATTGGATTGGTATGAATTGATGCAATAATTTCTCAAATTTTTATGAAGACGATCACCATAATGAATGTAAAACATTTTATGTAAAACTGAGATATCTTATATCCAAAGCTACTTGTCAGTGGTCTTTATCCCAAAATCTGCATGTTATATAAACTGATAAAATTAATTCATATCCAACTATGTTTAACAGTATAAAAACAATCAATCTTTATTTTATCCTCTGTCTTCATATCATCAGGAAAAGTTACTTGATCATTTATTGGGGAAAAATCTGGGAGGGAATGTGCTCTGCCCTCTTTTTGATGTTTTCCCTCCATACCACACACAGAACCCGGAAATCACTGACCAGCCCCGTCATGCTGCCATCAGGAGAAAGTCAGACAGAAAGTTAGAGATAAAGCTGCTCTCAGGCTTGTTTAGATTTATATGGGTGCAAACACAACGTAGTCCAATTCAGTTATCATGAAGACTTTACATAAAAGTAATTCTGTCCACAAATCCTATAATATTTTTCAGGAGAAGGAAATTTGATGTATGGAGAATTGAATTGGTATTCTCACCTAAAATTGAAGTGAGGAGATGAGAGAATGAAATGAAATACCTGAATTACATTTTAGTGTCTATACAGGTGAGGGCTGTATTCATATGTAGACATGTCTACATTCCCTTAGCAGAGCTACAAATATAGCTGCTCATAATTTGAATTATGTTAATCTGTTTCTTCATGCACGGTAGATCCTTTTCTGAGTAGCTGTAAAAGACACAGTAAAATTTTACTGTTGCTGTCCTTAATGCTATAATTTCTTGAATTTTACTTTTCTATTTATGTAACCCAGCCAACACCAAGGATGCAGGTATGTTACATTAGAAATCTTTTGGATGGAGGACTAAGATATGCAGAAATCATTGAAGAACAAAAGAGGAGACATACGTTGTGATATTTTCCTGGCTGAGTTGAAGTAAAGCATCCAACTATTTTTTTTTTTTTTTTTTGAGATGGAGACTTGCTTCTTTGCCCAGGCTGGAGTGCAGTGGTGAGATCTTGGCTCACTGCAACCTCTGCCTCCCGGGTTCAAGCAATTCTCCTCCCTCAGCCTCCTCAATAGCTGGGATTACACACATGTATCACCACAGCCAGCTAATTTTTTGTATTTTTAGTAGAGACGGGGTTTCACCTTGTTGTCCCGGCTAGTCTCGAACTCCTGACCTCAAGTCATCTACCTGCCCCGCCTCAGCCTCCCAATGTGCTGAGATTACAGGCGTGAGCCACCATGTCCGACCCATCCACCCGTTTTTCAAGTTCTGTCTTTTGTCCTCTACTTTTATCCATTCATCTATCCCATCCTGCATTTAGAGTTACTTATTAAGAAACATACTAATGTTTTCCAAACACTCATTGATGCTTCTGGGCATAGAACAATGAATAAGACAGAAAAGTCCCTGTTTTTCCAAAGTTTACATTCTAATGGGGAAGGCAAATAACTTGGTTTTAAAACTCCAGATAACGAGGTCTGATTTATTCTAAGAACAAGAATATTAAGTTGCTCTCTAAACTCAAAGGAGGTCTAGATGATTAGACTATGACGGACATGCTGGTGAATCAACAAAGTGATGAATGCACATCCTGGCAAATGTCCACTCCCAGGATGGTGAGTATGGAGTAAGTGATACAAGGTCGGAGGAAATGCAGAAGATCAGAAGCAACCCTATGGTAGCAGGGTGCCCCGAGACAGGCTGTCTGCTGAGGTTTCTCTGCCAACTCATTCCAGGATCCTACGGCTTCCTACTGATGTTCATGGCAAAGCACACAGCCCTCTGGGGATTCTTTAGTTATTTATTGTCTTCCCACCACCCGCACCACCCCATCACTTCCCCAGACCCTGCCAAAGTCTTCTAATAAATGGAAGTTTGCAGAGTCAGTTATTGTTGCCTGGAACTCAGAAATTGAATTCAACAAGTTTATGGATGGGAGGAGGGCGGCAGTTGAAGCACGCAGACAATTTCACAGGCAACAGTGATCTCCGTGTTAGAGACGGCAGTGGGAAAAAGAGGAGCTGGTGATGATACACCTGCTAGCTCCCTGGACGGTGGCATTCACCTCCACGGTGCCCAACTGTAACTTGAAACCTGACAGCTTCCACATGTACATGTTAAACACTGACCTCGTTCTCCAACTGTGTTGAACTTCCAACTGCTTGCCAGGTTTCTCGGGATGTCACCTTGGAGTCACCTCTCTCTCCTAAACTCCTGTATCCTCCTAGTGACACTTCTAACTACTCCCCACTATTGCTTTCTTCAACTGGTGTGTTTCAGGTTATTTTTGTCTTATCAATTGCCTAGCCTCTGCAAGTCTGCCTCTTCCTCAAAGAGATCCACCTGTGAAAGCACAGCCTTGGGCCTGATCTGTTTCCATCTTTTCTCTTTTTTTCCATCATTTTCTTGTTCTCCTGAAACCACAAATACAGTTCTATTTGAAGTCAGACTTAATGAGTTACTTTCCACTTCAATAATATTCATAGACTCTCCATGCCCTACAGAAGTCGCTGATTTTATTCATATATTTATATGAATACATTATATATATTTTTATGAATAAATATGTTGTTCACATATTTATTTATAATAGAAACTTTCCACCAAAAGGAATCTTGTGCAGAAACCCCCAGTAGGAAGGAGGGGAGTAAATTGGGGCAGTCCAGCTGCATAGGAGAGATTCCAATCCTGATGACCAGCCCCCATCTCACCCTCAGAAAAACCCTGGGGTCCTCACAGTGTGATCGCTGGACACTGCAGCATGAATCTCTGCCTATGGCCATAGACCAGCACTCGAGGCATTTGATCATCATCTACCTTCAGTGATTCACACCCCTCAATCCTCCAGACCTCTTTTTTTCTCTTTGCACCTCAGTTTATAACCATTTCTTCACGTTGAAACATGTCCCTCCCTCTCAACCTCCATCTTAAAGATGTATCTCCAAAATTGCCTCCAAGCTTTCGATATCCCAAATTGGAACTTTTTTTCTCCAACTTCTTTATCCTCATCCACTTTTCTGTGTCTAATAAAGCACTTACTTCATTGTGTGATTTTTAAAAATGTCTTTCCTTTTGCTATGCTGATAGATTTTAAACTTCTGTGTGATTGCAAATACAGCAGGTTCTCAATAAATGCTTGTGGAGAGAGTAAACAGTTTTCAAAAATACTTATTTAATAAAAAAAATTTTTTGACAATATAAAAATATTTTAATAACATAATTACTATTGAAATATTAAGAAATAAAGAGTAAACTAATTGCCTGCAAGTATGGATGAAAAGGGTAACCAATAATACTTTTTCAAATGCCAAGAACAACAAATTTGTCTGAAAACATATTTGAATTGGGAAGGAAAGCATTGATTATATCTCATGGTGACACAGACTTGTTTTTAAAGCTTTCTATTAATAAATTTTTCTACAGAACATATATCTTATTCATAATAAAAAAGATAATTAAAATTTACAATGTTAAATATAAAATATTCATATTTATCATGTTACCTCCCATTCTCCGTGAAAAATGTGCAGTTGAACTACTTGCATGATTCCAAATAAATTCTTTTTTTGTTGTTAAAACTATCTTTCTTTAATTAAAAAAAATTTCAAAGTTTTCTTTGCGTTTGTCTTTCACAAAATTAGAGGACAATTTATCCCAATGTTCACTTCTTTAACATTTGAATGTGTGAAAGAGTAATGTTAAAAACACACTGAACTGATGCTATGCACCCAGCACAGACACTGAGTTTATCGTGTTTCATGTTGATATACAATATTATAATTATTTTTTTTTCTTTTCTGAAAGCTATGAATGTTTAAAGGTTTAAATATCCTACTTATGTAACTTTTGTTGCACGAAAAACCCATGGGGTTTAAGAGATTGCTTAAGATTTGAAGGGTAATGAGAACAAGCCTTATGGTTGGATGAAAACTATCAAACATGACTGACTGAAACTCCCATATCAAACTCTAACATCACCCAAAATTTGTAGATTTAGTAATAGCTCTTTCTTTGTGGAGACAGAGTCTTGCTCTATTGTCCAGGCTGTAGTGTAGTGGTGTGATCTTGGCTCTCTGCAGCCTTGACCACCTGGGCTCAAGTGATCCCCCTGCCTCAGCGTCCTGAACCGCTGGGACTATAGGCACATGCCAATACCCCCAGCTAATTTTTGTGTTTTTTTGTGTGGAAATGGGGTTTTACTGTGTTGCCCAGGCTGGCCTCGAACTCCTGGGCCTCAGCAATCTATCTACCTCAGCCTCCCAATGTGCTAGGATTACAGGCATGAGCCACCATGCCTGGCTTATTAATAGATTTTTACCACAAATTCTTTATACTGAGAAACATGTTCCAGTGCTGCAAATTACAGTCATGCTATTGATTCCTTCGAAAGGTTTAAATCTCAAATTTACATACATTTATATCGACAGACAATAAAGAAACAAAATGAATAAGCTAAGTGTACTTTTATTTTCTATGGAAAATGCCACCCATATAACTGGCATCCCTATAGCATCTCAATTCCTGTACTGCAAAACCTATTGGCTCTTTTTGGTCTATTCCCACTCCGTTTCTCCTAAATCATTTTCCTATTGATCCTTCACTCAGTTTCCATTAAACCTACTTTGCTAAACCTCCAGGAATTCTTACTGTACCGCACCTATCAACTCCTGGTAATTCTGCTCATATCCTGGGATGCCTGTTCACATGCTGGCTACTTTGGGAAATCCTACCCAAAACGGAAACACCAGGTTAAGGGCTGTACTTTCCATGAATGTTTCCTCAGTTACTACCCCCTGGGAGCTTAAAATCAAACTGAACTGACTGTATTGAGTATGTAAAATGTATTAGTCTAAGATATATTCAATATAAGTTGTAAACACATGTTATATTATCTCTCTCTCTCTTTCTATCTAACTTTATGGAGCTGAATATTAAAAGAATTGAGGTCAGAAAAGTCAGTGCCGTCATGGCCTGGAGCAATTCCAGAGGAATGCTCATCAAGGCTGAGTGTGACCTGGTCTTGGAGGTTGAAAATGATTTAAATAATGCAACATGTAAGGATGAAGAAGGGTATTGAATATTGGATGTGTTTGATTGTTGGTAAGAAGAGAGGAAGACATTCAATTAATAAGTTTTATTTTCTAGGTCACCTGCTGGGTAGAGTAGAAAATAGTCTTGGCTAAACCAGGAAGAAGTCGAATCCCTGAATAGACCAAAAACAAGTTCTGAAATTGAAGCAGTAATTAATAGCCTACCAACTAAAAGAAGCCCAGGACCAGGTGGATTCACAGTCGAATTCTCCCAGAAGTACAAAGAGGAGCTGGTACCATTCCTTCTGAAACTATTCCAGACAATAAAAAAGAGGGACTCCTCCCTAACTCATTTTATGAGGGCAGCATCATCCTGATACCAAAACCTGGCAAAGGCACAGCAAAAAAAGAAAATTTCAGGCCAATATCCCTGAAGAACACCGATGTGAAAATCCTCCATAAAATGCTGGCAAACCAATTCCAGCAGCACATCAAAAAGCCTATCCACCATGATCAAGTCAGCTTTATCCCTGGGATGCAAGGCTAGTTCCATATATGCAAATCAATAAACGTAATCCATCACTTAAACAGAACCAATGACAAAAACCACATGATTATCTCAAGAGATGAAGAAAAGGCCTTCAATAAACTTCAACACCCCTTCATGCTAAAAACTCTCAATAAACTAGGTAGTGATGGAACATATCTCAAAATAATAAGCTATTTATGACAAACCCACAGCCAATATCATGCTGAATGGGCAAAAGCTGGAAGCATTCCCTTTGAAAACTGGCAAAAGACAAGGATGCCCTTTCTCACCACTCCTATTCAACACAGTATTGGAAGTTCTGGCCAGGGTACTCAGGCAAGAGAAAGAAAGAAAACGCATTCAAATAGGAAGAGATGAAGTCAAATTGTCTCTGTTTGGAGATGACATGATTGTATATTTAGAAAACCCCATTTTCTCATCTCAAAATCTCCTTAAGCTGATAAACAACTTCAGCAATGTCTCAGGATACAATATCAATGTGCGAAAAGCACAAGCATTCCTATACATAAATAATAGACAAACAGAGAGCCAAATCAAGAATGAACTCCCATTCACAATTGCTACAAAGAGAATAAAATGCTGAGGAATACAACTTACAAGGGATGTGAAGGATCTCTTCAAGGAGAACTACAAACCACTGCTCAAGGAAATAAGAGAGGACACAAACAAATAAAAAAACATTCCATGCTCATGGATAGGAAAAATGAATATTGTGAAAATGGCAATACTGTCCAAAGTAATTTATAGATTTATTGCTATCCCCATCAAGCTACCATTGACTTTCTTCATTGAATTAGAAAAAACTACTTAAAATGTCATATGGAACCAAAAAAGAGCCCATATAGCCAAATGAATCCTAAGCCAAAAGAACATAGTTGGAGGCATCGTGCTACCTGACTTCGAACTATACTACCAGGCTACAGTAACAAAAACAGCAAGGTACTGGTACCAAAGCAGATATATAGACCAATGGAACAGAACAGAGGTCTCTGAAATAACACCACATATCTACAACCAACTGACCTTTGACAAATGTGATAAAAACAAGCAATGGGGAAAGGATTCCGTATTTAATAAATGGTGTTGGGAAAACTGGCTAGCCATATGCAGAAAACTGAAACTGGACCCCTTCCTTACACTTTATACAAAAATTAACTCAAGATGGATTAAAGACTTAAACATAAGACCTAAAACCATAAAAACCCTAGAAGAAAACATAAGCAATACAATTCAGGACATAGGCATGGGCAAGGACTTCATGACTAAAACACCAAAAAGCAATGGCAACAGAATCCAAAATAGACAAATGGGATATAATTAAAGAGCTTCTGCACTGCAAAAGAAAGTACCTCAGAGTGAACAGGCAACCTACAGAATGGGAGAAAAATTTTGCAATCTATCCATCTGACAAAGGGCTAATACCCAGAATCTACAAAGAACTTGAACAAATTTACAACAAAAAACAACCCCATCAAAAAGTGGGTGAAGGATATGAACAGACACTTCTCTAAAGAAGACATTTATGCAGCCAACAAACATAAGAAAAAAAGCTCATCATCACTGGTCATTAGAGAAATGCACATCGAAACCACAGTGAGACACAGTCTCACAACCGTTAGAAAGGGGATCACTAAAAAGTCAGGAAACAACAGATGCTGGAGAGGCTGTGGAGAAACAGGAACACTTTTACACTGTTGGTGGGAGTGTAAATTAGTTCAACCATTGTGGAAGACAGTGTGGTGATTCCTCAAGGATCTAGAACCAGAAATACCATTTGACTCAGAAATCCCATTACTGGGTATGTACCCAAAGGATTATAAATCATTCTACTATGAAGACATATACACACATATGTTTATTGCAGCCCTGTTCACAATAGCAAGGACTTGGAACAAACCCAAATGTCCATCAATGATAGGCTGGATAAAGACAATGTGGCACATATACATCATGGAATACTACGCAGCCATAAAAAAGGATGAGTTCATGTCCTTTGCAGGGACATGGATGAATCTGGAAACCATCACTGTCGGTAGACTAACATAGGAATACAAAACCAAACACCACATGTTCTCACTCATAAGAGGGAGCTGAACAATGAGAACACATGGACACAGGCTGGGGAAACATCACACACTGGGTCCTGTTCGGAGAATGCAGGGCTAGGGGAGGCATAGCATTAGAAGAAATACCTAATGTAGATGATGGGTTGTTGGGTGCAGCAAAACACCATGGCGTGTGTATACCTATGTAACAAACCTGCACGATCCGCACATGTGTCCCAGAACTTAAAGTATAATGAAAAAAAAAAAAGTTTTGGTTAGATAGTAAAATATTTTAAAAAGTAAGTTACCAATGCTCAAAGAAGAATTTGGGGATGGTACTTGAATGCACAGGTATGTGAGAAGGTTGTTTTGAGAAAAACCTCACTTACAATCAAAATTATGTATCTCAAATGAGTCAGGCAAAGTCTCTTGCTTGGGTATATCAGTTTTCATTACCAGATCAAGAGCATACGTAATTCAATGACTGTGCTATGATGAACAGGGTGCGTTCACCCATCACCTTACATTCAGAGTACTACAACTTTTCAATCTTTACAGGTATGACTAAAATGACTGCAAGTAAAACAACTTGACAAGCCCCATGTCGGTACCTGTTCAACAGATCTACCCACATGAAAAAAAAAAGAGAGCAGCTTACACACACCCTATGTTAAAATTCTATTTTTGTCTATAGTCCAAATTAACAAAAATAAATTATTAAAAATGCACAGTATCATCCAAGAAAGCCATATGTGTTTGCATGGCACATAAACATTCAAGTAAAATTATTGATACAATTAACTTATTCTATTGCAAATTTAGGGTAATTTAATAAAACATCAAACAGATTCAAGTTCAGTTACACATGAAGAAAACTTGAATATTTTAAGGGTTATCATTCTTATTGCAAATATTTTTAATATAGAACCCAAAAATATGACAAATATTTGCATCGTCTATATGACATCCTTGAGTTTTACAAAATTATAATTAGCCAGTAGTTATCATCCTTCTGACACTAAAAATTATACAGACACATGTAGTTTATTTATTTTTCATTACTAGAGTTCCAATTACAAAAATAAGACTCAGTAACATAAATTCAAATAATACCAAAAAATGTAGAGTGAAAAATAAAAAATCTCACTGCTCCCACGCTACAGCCTAGTTATCTCTGAAGAGGCGAGCATGAGAGTTACAATTTTAGAATGTCTATTTTCAGTCAATTTCTATGCAATTCTGTGTGTACCTGCAATTACATATATCTATACAGTATATGCATATACACAACATGCATTGTTCTATTACCTCTTATTTTTTCCTTTAAAAAGAATGTATCAGGCTGGGCGCGGTGGCTCACATCTATAATCCCAGCACTTTGGGAGGCCGAGGCAGGCAGATTACCTGAGGTCAGGAGTTCGAGACCAGCCTGGCCAACATGGCAAAACCCTGTCTCTACTAAAAAATACAAAAATTAGCTGGGCATGGTGGTGGGAGCCTGTAATCCCGGCTGCTCGGGAGGCTGAGGCAGGGTAATCGCTTGAACCTGGGAGGCGGAGGTTTTAGTGAGCCGAGATCCTGTCACTGTGCTCCAGCAGGAAAGGGAAAAAGTTATTATTTATTTGCATTCTTCTGATTCCTAGTCAGCACTGGAATATTTTTTAAAGTTTATTGGGTTAGGGTTATTTATATATATATATAAATTTATATATGTATATTTATTATTAGCATTCCAATAACTTTAGTAATTAGTTATATATATGTTATTATATAATATATAACACATAATATATTATATAATAACATATATAATATAATATATATAATATATTATATATAATCTATATATTTAATTAGTTATGTATATAAATTTATATATATATAAATTTATATAAATATATATTTATTATTAGCATTATGTCTTTCTCTATATATATCTATAATAGATATATAAATATCTCTATATAATATATAATAATAAATATAAATATAAATATCTCTCTCTATATAGAGATAGATATAAAATGTATCTGCATAGCTCATTTTCTCATAGATCTGTTGGCTTATTAGTGTTGCATTTCTTCTCTCTTCCAGTAGCAGAGTATGATTATTTCATGTGTATATTACATGGAGAATGCAACTATTTTTGGTTGTCTGACCCTTTATTTTACATCTTTAATAGAATAACTTTTAGTGTGCATATAGCAAAATTGATCAATGTTTTTTCATTTACTGTTTCTGGATTTCTTTAGTTTTCCAAGATTTAAAAACTAAGATTTCTCAAAAAAACCCAAAACTAAATGACAAAGAAAACATGATGCTCACAGGCATGGCCACTTAAACGCTGTGACAAAGTCAGCCGAACAATGAGAGGAGAAACAGGATCTCAAATACCAATGATGCCAGCGCATGTAGATAGCCAGATTGGAGAAGAAATGGATCTGGACACTACATCGTTCCTTACCACAAATCCACAAATTTTTAGATGGATTGAAGTTATAAATTTAAAAGATAAACATAAGTTTTTACTTTTAGGGGTGATTAACAAGTTATAGATCATGGTGATGCTTTCATAGATGTTCATATGTATCACAAATCGCATCAAATTGTTCACATTAAACATGCAGTTTACTGCATTTCAGTCACACCTCAATAAAGCTGTTAAAATGTTTAAAGTTTTTAGGAGAGAACAACAGAATGTCTTCATTACTCTGAACGGAGGGAAGCCTTCTTCCACACTAGGAAAACCTCATGCATGGAGGGAAGCCTTCTTCCACACTAGAAAAACCTCATGCATGGAGGGAAGCCTTCTTCCACACTAGAAAAACCTCATGCATGGAGGGAAGCCTTCTTCCACACTAGGAAAACCTCATGCATGGAGGGAAGCCTTCTTCCACACTAGGAAAACCTCATGCACGAATGAAAACAGTGAAATATGGGACTATCTTAAAATTAAAAATTTCTATTCATCGAAATGATGCCAATAAGAGAAGGAGAAGAACAACTCCAGAATAAAAGACTTACAATGTGTAGATCGAAGGAACTGTATCTAAATATTTACACAACACCTATAATTCAGTAAGATAAACGCATGTGACCCAATAGAAATGGAAGCAAAGAAAGAGATGCTTTATAAGAGATGATACATCAATGTCCAATAAATATACAAAAATGTGCTCAGAACAACTGAAATGTCAGCAAACAGTAGAATGAAATAAAAACTTTTGATATGTTTAAGCAATAATATTAGATGATGAGAAGCAGCGAAACACAGCTAACTGCCATAATATGGATGGACCCCACAGACTTAAGGTTGCAGGAAAGAAGCTGGACAAACAGGACCTTCCCTGGATAATTTCATTTATTTACATAACCACTAGTGCCAGACAATTAAGGTTCAACCCTGGGAGGCAGTGACTGGGCGAGGCTGTGAAAGCGAAGTGTGGAGTCCTGGAAAAGTTCGTTTAGTGACCTACATGGTCTTGAGCTGACAGGGACATGTTTACTCTGGGAAATGCATTGAGCTACACACTTATACTTGTAGAAATAAATAAATATGTAGACATCTTTAAAAAATGGTTGTCTGAGAGATAGTCTAAATTTTCACATAATAATTTTAAGTTTTGAATCTTTATATCTTCAATCAATGTGTAACTTATTTCATGTACATTTTTAAACATTTTTAAATCAAATCAGGCATCCAATTTGAGCAACACTATGTCTTAATAGGATATCCCTTTTCTACAAAATGGAATAATTATATTATAAATTAAGTTTCTGTACAGACAAAGATCTGTTACTAGAATCCTTACGCTATTGCACTAATATATTTGTGTATTTCCATACCAATTCCACATTGTTCGGTTTATCATTAGTTTTTCATATGCTCTGATACAACATGGGACAGTCCTTCCTTATTATTCTCAAAAATATATTTCGTATCCATTTGGAGCATTTCTTTTCCAAATTAATTTTTAAATATTTGCAAATTGCTATTTATATATTGCTATATACATATAAATTAATATAGATGCTATTTATATATAAATATATATTTATATAAATTATATATAAATATATTTATAATATTTATATATATTATATAAATATATATTTATATAAATTATATAAATATATATTTATATAATATATATTAATATATGCTATTTATATATAAATATATAATTAAATAAAATAGTATACATATTTATATATGCTATTTATATGTAAATATATATTATATATGCAAATATATAATATATATTATATATGCTTATATATTACATATGCTAATATAATATATAATATATGCATATATAATATATAATATATATGCATATATAGCATATATAATACATATGCTATTTATATATAAATATATAATATATAAATATAATATATATAATATATAAATATATAATATATAATATATAAATATATATATAATTTATATATAAAATATATATATAAATAAAAATATATATAATATATAAATATATA